>NT_187586.1:0-210133 GCF_000001405.40 Homo sapiens | reverse complement strand
GAATTCACACATGTACAGGTTATTGTCCTCAGAATTGCTTCCAATGAAAGAATTCCTAAGTGAAATGGGATTCATTTTGGTTTGGTTTGTTGTTTTTGTTGATGCATTAGATCAGTGGCTGGTAAAGTGTGGCCCACTGCCTATGTTTGTAAATAAAGTTTTACTGACACACAGCCACGTCCATTCATGTGTGTGCTGTGGAAGTTGCTTTTGGTACAGCAGCAGGGCACGCCCCTAGAAACCAGTTGGCCTGTGAAGCCTGAAGTTCTTTCTGGTGAGTTTGCTGTTGTCCTCTTGAGGGTAGACACTCCCCAGTGGCAGGTCTTGGTCTCTCCAGAGCTGGCATAGACATTCGGTATCTGGTGAAAGAAAGAAAAACCAAGGCCTAAATGTGGCCTAAATCTTTAAAATGACGATACACTGTAAATGCATTCTAACTTTGATTTTTCGTTTAACTGCACTTCTATTTTTTTGAGACTGAGTCTCGCTCTATTGCCCAGGCTGGGGTGCAGTGGCGCAATCTTGGCTCACTGCAACCTCTGCCTGGTTCAAGTGATTC
Organism: Homo sapiens; assembly: GCF_000001405.40. Taxonomy (NCBI): domain Eukaryota; kingdom Metazoa; phylum Chordata; class Mammalia; order Primates; family Hominidae; genus Homo; species Homo sapiens. Next base: position 209,574 of record NT_187586.1, on the reverse strand, counting down.
TCCTGCCTCAGCCTCCCAGGTAGCTGGGATTACAGATCTCGAACTCCTGACCTCAAGTGATCCATCCGCCTCAGCCTCCCAAAGTGCTGGGATTACAGGTGTGAGCCACCACATGCAGCCAAGATTTCTGTATAATTATACGTTTTTTGTTTTTTTTTTTTTGAGACAGAGTGTCACTCTGTCGCCCAGGCTGGAGTGCAGTGGTGCGATCTCGGCTCACTGCAACCTCTGCCTGCCAGGTTTAAGCAATTCTCCTGCCTCAGCCTCCTGAGTAGCTGGGACTACAGGTGCACGCCACCATGCCCAGCTAATTTTTTTTTGTTATTGTATTTTTAGTAGAGATGGGGTTTCACCGTGTTGGCCAGGATGGTCTTGATCTCTTGACCTTGTGATCTGCCTGCTTTGGCCTCCCAAAGTGCTTGGATTACAGGCGTGTGGCTCACCTGTTTAATCCCAGCACTTTAGGAGGCTGAGGCCAGGAGTTTGAGACCGGCCTGGGCAACATAAGGAGACCCCATCTCTATTAACTGGAAAAAAAAAAAAAGTGTGGGGTGGGTGTTGGTGAAGTATTTATACCAAGAAATCAGCAAATGCTTGAAATCAGAGCTTTTTCTCCAGGAGGGCTGGGGTTCGCATCGACCGCTTGCCCCTGGTACAAGGTGTGCATGTGGCTCCTGGATCTCTGTCCCCAGGTGCCCTTGGTGGGCAGAAGTCAGAAATGTTCTCATGTGCACGTGTGCGTGTTTGTGCTCCAAATCTGTGTGTGTTGAAAACCATGAGTTTGCCCCAGTGTCTCTAGTTCCAGTGCAGAACCTCAGGGTTTGTGCTAGTTCCTTTGTAACTTTCTTCTCCAATTGTAAGAAACCCCGCTGGGCGTGGTGGCTCACGCCGGTAATCCCAGCACTTTGGGAGGCCGAGGCGGGTGGATCACCTGAGGTCAGGAGTCCGAGACCAGCCTGACCAACGTGGAGAAACCCCATCTCTACTAAAAATACAAAATTACCCAGGCCTGGTGGCAGATGCCTGTAATCCCAGCTACTCGGGAGGCTGAGGCAGGCGAATCACTTGAACCCGGGAGGGCAGTGAGCCAAGATGATGCCACCGCCCTCCAGCCTGGGCGACACAGCGAGACTCTGATTTAGCCACTTCCCTCCCCTGGTCATTGTCCACGGCGCTGATTCTGCGAACATTTCAGGGTCCAGCAGCCGCATTCAGATGAGTTGTACAACATGGAGCTGGGTGGGTGGAGCAGGAAGGGATGGGACATCCTCCTGCCTGTGTTGCCTGCTGGGGGGATGTCAGGCTGAGTGCTCGGGGATGTCAGGTGCTTGGGGATGTCAGGTGCTGGGGGGATGTCGGGTGCTGGGGGTGTCGGGTGCTGGGGGGATGTCAGGCTGCGTGCTGGGGGATGTCAGGTGCTGGGGGGATGTCAGGTGCTGGGGGTATCGGGTGCTGGGGGATGTCAGGCTGAGTGCTGGGGGATGTCAGGTGCTTGGGGATGTCAGATGCTGGGGGGATGTCAGGTGCTGGGGGTGTCGGGTGCTGGGGGATGTCAGATGCTGGGGGGTGTCAGGTGCTGGGGGGGATGTCGGGTGCTGGGGGGTGTCGGGTGCTGGGGGTTGTCGGGTGCTGGGGGGTGTCGGGTGCTGGGGGGTGTCGGGTGCCCCGGGGGATGTCGGGTGCCGGGGGATGTCAGGCTGCGTGCTGGGGGATGTCAGGTGCTGGGGGGTGTCAGGTGCTGGGGGGATGTCAGGCAGTGATTTGTTGTTTGCTGGTCAGTTTTTTACCCGACTTCCCAACATTGCGTGAGAGTTTTCTTTTCTTTTCTTTTTTGAGATGGAGTCTCACTCTGTCACCCAGGCTTGAGTCCACTGGCACCATCTCGGCTCACCACAACTTCTGCCTCCCAGGTTCAAATGATTCTCATGCCTCAGCCTCCCAGGTAGCTGGGATTATAGACGCTTCCACGCCTAGCTAATTTTTGTATTTTTTGGTAGAAATGGGGTTTCACCATGTTGACCAGGCTAGCCTCGAACTCCTGACCTCAAGGGATCTGCCCGCCTCGGCCTCCCAAAGTGCTGGGATTACAGGTGTGAGCCACTGTGCCTGGCCTCTTTTCTTTTTGAGACAGGGTCTCATTAAGTCACCAAGGCCGAAGGACGGTGGCGCAGTCATGGCTCACTGTAGCCTCGACCACCTGGGCTCAAACCATCCTCCCGCCTCAGCTTCCTGAGTAGCTGGGATCACAGGTGAATGTCACCATGCCCAGCTAGTTCTTTGTTTTTGATTTCTGTTTTGTAGAGACAAGGTCCTGCTATGTTGCCCAGGCTGGTCTTGAACTCCTGAGCTCAAGTGATCCTCCCACCTCAGTCTCCCAAAGTGCAGGGATTACAGGCATGAGCCACTGCACCGGGTGATGAGAATTTTTATTTATTTTTTATTTTTAAATTTTATTTGTTTATTTTTTTGAGATGGAGTCTCACTCTGCCCAGGCTGGAGTGCAGTGGTGCCATCTCTGTTCACTGCAAGCTCTGCCTCCCGGCTTCACACCTTTCTCCTGCCTCAGCCTCCCGAGGTAGCTGGGACTACAGGCGTCTACCACCACGTCCAGCTAATTTTTTGTATTTTTTTTAGCCAATTTTTTGTATTTTTTTGTATTTTTTTAAACACAGTGAAACGCGGGGTTTCACTGTTAGCCAGGATGGTCTCGATCTCCTGACCTCATGATCCGCCTGCCTTGGCCTCCCAAAGTGCTGGGATTACAGGCGTGAGCCACCGCGCCCGGCTGAGAATTTTTAACGGAGGCCATTTTGAAGCTAGGAGATGTATTAATTTCTTGGTTTGTTTTGCTTTCCAAATGCTCTAGTGTTGACATCCCTGCCTGCGCTGGCGGTCCCACCCCCGACTCCCACCAAAACGGCACCTCCCGCGTTGGTCAATGGGCTGGAGCTGTCAGAGCCGCGGAGCTGGCTGTACCTAGAAGAGATGGTCAACTCCTTGCTCAACACAGCGCAGCAGCTGAAGACGCTGTTTGAGCAAGCCAAGCATGCCAGCACCTACCGAGAAGCTGCCACAAACCAGGCCAAGATCCACGCTGACGCAGAGCGGAAGGAGGTAACCTTGGAACAAATGGGAAGACACGACCTGTGCTGAGTAACCCCAGGCCACCCTGGTGCCTGTGCCCAGCTGCGTAAGACCCACCTTGGCTCACAAGGCCCCTGCCCCACCTTTCTGGAAAAGGGAGCTGTGGAGAGTCATTTACAAATGAAGCTTTTCCTAAAGAAAAGTGACAGCTATTGTTGTTAAGGTGGTTTTGGTTTTTGTAAATAAGGTTGCTTTGTTTCAGAAAGGGAAACAATTTTGTGCGCATCGGCCGTTGTGAATACTCACGTTTTCTAGGCATTATTCATCCTTTGTCTTCCTGTAGTGAAATGTGCTTATATTTTATGAAGTTTGGAGAACATCATCTATTGAGTCTCTGAGTATCAGCGACTGGCAGGGCGAATGCTGAGCCCCTTCCTGGGAGCCGAGCTCCGTCCATCTGCTGTCACAAAGACCTCCCAGCTTCTGGCACGTTCTTCAGAAGGCGGCTCCTGTGCATGGTGGGAGGCTCACAGGGCGTAGTGCCCATGTTTTCTGTAGCTTCCTATTACTGCAGCACAAGCAAAAGGTCACTTAGGCCCCTTCGGCCTCTTTTCATATGGAGTCTCTACTTCATATGAACCCTTTACTTAGATTGAAGACTTTGAGGTAATATAAAGGTTCAGGTGGGTGACATGAATAGGGTAGATAGAAATTACTAGAGCCAGAGTAAACTGGAGAGAGGGTGGAGGTTTCTCAGCTACTTCTCATAGCCCAAACCCAGCAGACAGGTACCGTGTGTCACAGGGCACGGGGACGAGAAGGTGAGAGAGGAGGGCGCCTGTCTGCTCAGCACAGATGGGGAGCTCTGAAGGCCACAGGAAAGGACAGGGATGGATTTTGTTGTAGCTGCTTTTTCGGGTACGGTAACGTGGACTTTGGTTTGTAAACAAAAGTCAAATTCATATTTTTCCCACCAAATCTATGTAAGAAACGTTTTCCCCCATTTCTTTTCTACTTTCTATTTTTATTTTTATTTGTGGAACAGGCTGTCACTCTGTCGCCCAGGCTAGAATGCAGTGGCACAATCTCGGCTCACTGCAACCTTTGCCTCCCGGGCTCCAGCGATTCTTGTGCCTCAGCCTCCCAAGTAGCTGGGACTACAGGCACCCACCACCACACCTGGCTAATTTTCTGTATTTTTGGTAGAGACGGGGTTTTACCATGTTGCCCAGGCTGATCTCACACTCCTGAGCTCAGGTGATCCACCCGCCTCAGCCTCTTAAAGTACTGGGATTGCAGATGTGAGCCACCATGCCCAGCTTCTACTTTTTATAGAAGAACTTTTTATTTATGTATTTATTTTATTATCATTATTTTTTTTTCAGCTGCTGCTTTATTTTACTTTATTTTATTTTTTGAGACGGAGTCTCGCTCCATCACCCAGGCTGGAGTGCAGTGGCACGATCTTGGCTAACTGCAACCTCCACTTCCTGGGATCAAGCAATTATCCTGCCTCAGCCTCCCAAGTAGCTGGGACTACAGGCGCCTGCTGCCATGCCTGGCTAATTTTTGTATTTTTAGTACAGACAGGGTTTCACCATGTTGGCCAGGCTGGTCTTAAACTCCTGACCCCAAGTGATCTACCCACCTGAGCGTCTTAAAGTGCTGGGATTATACGTATTTATTTATTTATCTATTTAAAAAAAATTTTTTTTTTTGAGACGGAGTCTTGCTGTGTCGCTCAGGCTGGAGTGCAATGGCACAATCTCAGCTCACTGCAGCTTCCTCCTCCCGGGTTCAAGTGATTCTCCTGCCTCAGCCTCCGGAATAGCTGGGATTACAGGCATGTGCTACCACACCTGGCTGATTTTTTGTATTTTTAGTAGAGACGGGGTTTCACTATGTTAGCCAGGCTGGTCTCGAACCCCTGACCTCAGGTGATTCACCCACCTCAGTCTCCCAAAGTGCTGGGATTACAGGCATGAGCCACCTTGCCCGGCCTATTTATTTTTTAATTTTTAAATTTTTCTGTCATTCAGTGCACATCAGGTACTTGTTATAGATTCTACTAGACAAGCACATAACGAACAGTGATTATCATCCCAGGCCGTATTCAATGTTAGGGGTTTGTTACGGATTCTACTAGACAAGCACATAATGAACGGTGATTCTCAACCCAGGCCGTATTCAATGTTAGGGGTTTGTTACGGATTCTACTAGACAAGCACATAATGAACAGTGATTCTCAACCCAGGTCGTATTCGATGTTAGGGGTTTGTTACGGATTCTACTAGACAAGCACATAATGAACAGTGATTCTCAACCCAGGTCGTATTCGATGTTAGGGGTTTGTTACGGATTCTACCAGACAAGCACATAACAAACAGTGATTCTCATCCCAGGCCGTATTCTATGTTAGGGGTTTGTGTAGTTTCCCCAGGACCTGTAGTGGTGATTGTCCAGAAGCCTTCCATAGGAGGAATGCATGGTCATTAGGTATGCCACAGCTCCAAACACCAGCAACACCACTCAATGACTATTGAGGTAATGACAGTGACACTGCAGCTCCACATGGCTGGGGAGGTCTCACCATCATGGCAGATGGCAAAGCGGGAGGAAAGGCATGTCTTAATGGTGACAGGCGAGCAGAAGAGCTTTTTAGATTCTTAATTTTTTAAATGACTGATCAATATGTGATTAGGGTTTTTTGTGTTTTTTTTTTTTTTTTTTTTTTTTAAGAGGTAAGGTCTCACTCTTGCCTAGGCTCATGGCTCATTGTAGGCTCAAACTCCTGGAAATACGGGTGCATGCCACCACGCTTGCCTAATTTATTTTTTTATTTTTTATTTTTTGTAGAGACTGGGTCTTGCCGTGTTGCCCAAGGTGGTCTCAAACTCCTGGGCTCAAGAGATCCTCCTGCCTCAGCCTCCCAAAGTGCTGAGATTACAGGCGTGAGCCACTGGACCCAGCATTAATTTTCTTTCAAGGAAGAAAAGTGTTTCTACTCCTGAAGACAAAGATAATTTTAAAATACTTTTTCACTGGGCACAGTGGATCACACTTGTAATCTCAGTGCTTTGAGAGGCTGAGGTGGGAGGATCTTTTGAGCCCAGGAGTTTGAGACCAGCTTGGACAACATGGTGAAACCCCGTCTCTACAAAAAAATATAAAAATTAGCTGGGTGTGGTGGTGGGCACCTGTAGTCTCAGCTACTTAGGAGGCTGAGGCAGGAGACTCACTTGAACCCAGGAGGCAGAGGTTGCAGTGAGCTGAGATCGGGCCACTGCACTCCAGTCTGGCGACAGAGCAAGACTCTGTCTCAAAAAACAAAAAGTCCAGGCGCGGTGGCTCACGCCTGTAATCCCAGCACTTTGGGAGGCCGAGGCGGGCGGATCACGAGGTCAGGAGATCGAGACCATCCTGGCTAACATGGTGAAACCCCATCTCTACTAAAAATACAAAAAATTAGCCGGGCGTGGTGGCGGGCGCCTGTAGTCCCAGCTCCTTGGGAGGCTGAGGCAGGAGAATGGCGTGAACCCGGGAGGTGGAGATTGCAGTGAGCCGAGATCGCGCCACTGCACTCCAGCCTGGGTGACAAAGTGAGACTCTGTCTCAAAAAAAAAAAAAAAAAAAAACATTAGCCAGGTGTGGTGACATGCCAGTCAAGAGGCTGAAACGTGAGGATTGCTTGAGCCTAGGAGGTTGATGTTGCAGTGAGCCGTGATCACACCACTGTACTCCAGCCTGGGCAACAGAGTGAGACCTCGTCTCAAAAAAAAAAAAAACAAAAAAACAAAAAGAAAAAAGAAATTAAAAAGGAAAAAAATAAAGAAAAAGATATATATATATTTTGAGATGGTCTTGCTGTGTCACCCAGGCTAGAGTGCAGTGGTGTGATCTCGGCTCACTGCAGCCTCCATCTCCCAGGTTCAAGCGATTCTTGTGCCTCAGCTTCCCAGATAGCTGGGATTACAGGTATGTGCAACCACGCCCAGCTATTTTTTGGTATTTTAGGAGAGAAGAGGTTTCGCCATGTTGGCGAGGCTGGTCTTAAACTCCAGGCCTCAAGTGTTCTACTTGCCTTGGCCTCCCAAAGTGTTGGGATTACAGGTGTGAGCCACCGCACCTGGCCAAAAAAATACTTTAAAAAAAAAAAAAAAAGTATACTTCCAAACAAACAGCTACTTAATGCTGAAATTTATAGAGGAAAAGAAAGTTTAAAGGCAAAAAAATCTATAACCCTGCACCCAAAGATAATGACCGTGAACACTTACTGTGTGTCCTTTTGGTCTTTTTTGGTAATTGAGGTAAACTGTATGTACAGCAAAGTGCCTCAATCTCCACCATAAAATGTAGTGAGTTTTGATGAATGCATGAACCTGGTCATGAGACCATTTCAATCCCTGCAGAAGCACCACTCATGTCCCCTTCCATCGGTCCCCTGCCCCATGGACAGTCACTGCTCTCATTTTTTTTTTTTTCTTTTCTCTTTTGAGGCAGCATCTCACTCTGTCACTCAGGCTGGAGTGCAGTGGCATGATCTTGGTTCACTGCAGCCTTGCGCCACCATGCCTGGCTAATTTTTGTATTTTTTGTAAAGATGGGGTTTCTTTTTTTTTTTTTTTTTTTTTTGAGACAGTCTCACACTGTCACCCAGGCTGGAGTACACTGATGCAATCTCGGCTCACTGTAGCCTTCGCCTCCCAGGTTTAAGTGATTCTCCTGCCTCAGCCTCCCGAATAGCTGGGATTACAGGCACATGCCACCATGCCCAGCTAATTTTTGTGTTTTAAGTAGAGACGAGGTTTCACCATGTTTGTCAGGCTGGTCTTGAACTCCTGACCTCAGGTGATCCTCCTGCCTCAGCCTCCCAAAGTGCTGGGATTACAGGCATGAGCCACCGCACCTGGCCTCTTTTTTTTTTGAGACAAGTTTCGCTCTTGTTGCCCAGGCTGGAATCCAATGGCACAATCTCGGCTCGCCATAACCTCCACCTCCCAGGTTCAAGAGAGTCTCCTGCTTCAGCCTCTCAAGTAGCTGAGATTACAGGCATGCGCCACCACGCCCAGCTAATTTTGTATTTTCAGTAGAGACAGGGTTTCACCATTTAGGTCAGGCTGGTCTTGAGCTCCTGACCTCAGGTGATCTGCCCACCTCGGCCTCCCAAAGTGCTGAGATGACAGGTGTGAGGTACTGCACCCAGTTGATTTTCTAGATTTCCTACCACAACTGATTTCTAATTCAACTCCAATATGCTTAGAAAATATACTCTGATTTCAGTTCTTTTAAATTGATTACGATTTATTTCGGCCAGGCATGGTGACTCACACCTGTAATCCCAGCACTTTGGGAGGCCAAGGTCTTGAGGCCAGGAGTTTGAGACAAGCCTGGACATTGTGAGACCCTGTCTGTACAAAAAAAAAAAAAAAAGGGTCGGGTGCAGTGGCTTACGCCTGTAATCCCAGCACTTTGGGAGGCCGAGGCGGGCAGATCACAAGGTCAGGAGGTCGAGACCATCCTGGCTAACACAGTAAAACCCCGTCTCTACTAAAAATACAAAACATTAGCCAGGCATGGTGGCGGGCGCCTATAGTCCCAGCTGCTCAGGAGGCTGAGGCAGGAGAATGGCATGAATCCAGGAGGCAGAGCTTGCAGTGAGCCGAGATTGCACCACTGCAGTCCAGCCTGGGCTACAGAGCGAGACTCTGTCTAAAAAAAAACAAAAAACTTTTTTTTTAAAGGGTTTCACTTTGTCACCCAGGCTGGAGTACAGAGGTGTGACCTCGGCTCACTGCAGCCTCAAGTTCCCAGGCTCAAGCAATCCTCTTGCCTCAGCCCCCCAAGTAGCTGGGACTATGGGCATGTGCCACCATGCTTGGCTAATTTTTGTATTTTTCATAGAGAGAGGGTCTCACTGTGTTGCCAGGCTGATCTCAAACTCCTGAGCTCAAGCCATCCACCCACCTCAGCTTCCCAAAGTGCTGGGATTACAGGCATGAACCACTGTGCCCGGCCAAAATGTTTCCTTCATTAGCCGGATCACTGGAGCCCAGGGGTAGAGGTTGCAGCGAGCTGTGATCACGCCACTGTGCTCCAGCCTGGGCAACAGAATGAGACCCTGTCTCAAAAAAACAAAAAGATGTGTTTTATGATCATGTATATACTTTTCGTGGTGAATATTGCATATACACTTGAAAAGAGTTTTATTCAGTCATTGGTTTTCGTTTTCTGTAATGTCATTAGGTCAAGGTGGTTCATAGTGTGGTCCAAATCTTGTTTTTCTTCAACCTAAAGATGTACTTTCAGCTTTTCTTTTCATATAGGTCTGTTGGCCATGAATTCTCTGTTTTTGTCTGTAATGTCCCTCTTTCACCTTTATTTTTGAGGGACGTTTTTGAGTGACATGGAATTCTGGGTTGTCACTTACATATATATATTTTTTTGAGACAGAGTCTCGCTCTTGTTTTCCAGGCTGGAGTGCAGTGGCACAATCTCCGCTCACTGCAACCTCCATTTCCCAGGTTTAAGCAATTCTCCTGCCTCAGCCTCCTGAGTAGCTGGGACTATCGGCGTGCGCCACCACACCCAGCTAATTTTTGTATTTTTGGTAGAGACGGGGTTTCGCCATGTTGCTCAGGCTGGTGTTGAACTCCTGGGCTCAAGTGATCCACCCGCCTGGGCCTCCCAAAGTGCTGGGATTACAGGCATGAGCTAACACGCCGGCCTATTTATTTATTTATTATTTTTTGAGACAAAGTCTCACTCTGTCACCAGGCTGGAGTGCAGTGATGCCATCTCGGTTCGCTGCAACCTCCGACTCCCTGGTTCAAGCGATTCTCCTGCCTCAGCCTCCTGAGTAGCTGGAATTACAGGCACACACCACCATGCCCAGCTAATTTTTTGTATTTTTTTATTAGAGACAGGGTTTTGCCATGTTGGCCAGACCGGTCTTGAACACCTGACCGACCTCAGGTGATTCACCTGCCTCGGCCTCCCAAAGTGCTGGGATTATAGGCATGACCTACCTGGGTTGTCACTTTTTATCATTCACCAGTTTAAAGATGTCTTTCCATCATCTTCTGGCCAGCCTGCCTACCTGCCTTCCTTCCTTCCTTCCTTCCTTTCCTCTTTTCCTCCTTCCCTCCTTCCCTCCCTCCCTCCCTCTCTCCTTCCTTCCTTCCTTCCTCCCTCCCTCCCTCCATCCCTCCCTTCCTTCCTTCTTTTTTCTTTCTTTTTTGAGACAGGGTCACTGTCTGTCACCGAGGCTAAGAAGCAGTGTTGTGGTCACATCTCAATGCAGCCTTGAGTTCCTGGGCTCAGGTGATCTTCCCTTAGCCTCCAGAGTAGCTAGGACTACCGGCACTGGCCACTACTCCCGGCCAATTTTTAGCTGGGGTTTCACCATGATGCCCAGGCTGGCCGCAAACTCCTTGGCTCAAGCGATCCTCTTACCTCAGCCTTCTGAGTAGCTGGGACTACACATGTGTACCACCATGCCCAGCTATTTTTTTGTTTGTTTTGTATAGATGGGGTTTCACTATGTTTCTCAGGCTGGTCTTGAACTCCTGGACTCAAGCAACCCACCTTCCTTGGCCTCCTAAAGTACTGGGATTACCAGCATGAACCACTGCTCCTGGCTATAACTATTTCTTTTTTTCTTTTTTTTTTTTTTTTTTTTTTTTGGAGACAGAGTCTTGCTCTCCAGGCTAGAGTGCAGTGACACGATCTCAGCTCACTGCAAGCTCTACCTCCCAGGTTCAAGCGATCTCTTGCCTCAGCCTTCCAAGTAGATGGGACTACAAGTGTGCACCACCACACCTGGCTAATACTTTGTTGTTTTGTTTTGTTTTGAGACGGAGTCTTGCTCTGTCGCCCAGGGTTGGAGTGCAGTGGCACGATCTCAGCTCACTGCAACCTCTGCCTCCCGGGTTCAAGTGATTCTCCTGCCTCAGCCTCCCGAGTAGCTGGGACTACAGGTGCATGCCACCACTCCTGGCTAATTTTCTGTATTTTTGGTAGAGAGGAGGTTTCACCATGTTAGCCAGGATGTTCACAATCTCCTAACCTCGTGATCTGCCCGCCTGGGATTACAGGTGTGAGCCACCGTGCCCAGCCTCAGGATCTGCTTCTTTTGGCTACTTTTTCCCTTCATCATGGATCCTGTTATCCCTTCTTCACACGTCCAGTACTTCCTGATTGTGTGTTGGAATTTTAGTTTATATACTGTTTATATGGTAGAGTTTATATGGTAGAGACTCTGAATTTTGTTGGATTCTGTTGTCTTCCCCTGAAGAGTGTTGGGCTTTGTTCTCGCAGGCTGAATTCTTATGGATCACCCTGAAGAGGATCAGTGTTGATGCTGTTAGGGCAGGTCTGTCTGGCTTTTTCTTCTGCCTGACACATCCTTAGTCTTGGATCTGCGAAGCTGTGGTTTTCTGGATGTTCCTGGGAAGTCCGTGGTGTTTTTAAGCCTCTAACTTGTGAAGGTTCAAACTCCAGACTTTCAGGTGGTGAGCAGCAGCCGCAGTCTCTGCTCAGTGTTCTCGGTCTTCAGCCGTCCATTTCTGCTGAGTCTTCCCCACATGCTGTGTCATCAGCTCAGGGTCAAACAAGGACGTGGGGAGCGTTTATGTGCTGGATGGGAGTGTCCTCTCTCTGTGCTTGCTCCTTTCTAGGGTTTCTCCCCTCATTTTCCAGCCACTTTGTCAGCTCTGGCCAGGGTGACTGCAGCCTGCTACCACGGTGTGGCCGCCCATGTCTGGTGGCCTGGGGCTGCCTCCAGGAGAAGCCTTCCTGGCTCCATCTCCCTGCTACGTCACCTGTCCCTGCTATGTCACCTGGCTGCCTCTCTCCCCTGCTCATTTGGCAGCCAGAGTGTCTGATGCTGCTGCGTCAGCTGGGTCCCTGCCCTGAAAGGCTGGGCTTTGAATTTTATTAGTAATTTTATGTATTTCTATGAGAGAAATGTGGCATGAAATCCCTTTATCCTTAAAATCCCGTTTGGTAGACAGCCAAGCCTTTTAAAACGTTAGAAAGGGCGGCCCCTTTCTCAGCTGGAAGCAGCTGTTGCAGTGAACATCCCGTGCATCTGAAAATGTCAGGAGTTAGAAGAAATGTCAGGAAGTGTTAGAAGCGATGTGTTCCCTTTCTCTAAAGCTGTGTATCGGACGTGTCATTCATAAAGCCATTACTTGAATAGCTGAGCCAGGACTCAGAGGCTCTGAGTGTGACACCCTGTCCTCCTCCTCTCAGTGTGAATAGCTGAGCCAGGACTTAGTTAGAGTGACCGAGTGTGACACCCTGTCCTCCTCCTCTCAGTGTGAATAGCTGAGCCAGGACTTACTTAGAGTGACCGAGTGTGACACCCTGTCCTCCTCCTCTCGGTGTGAATAGCTGAGCCAGGACTCAGAGTGACCGAGTGTGACGCCCTGTCCTCCTCCTCTCGGTGTGAATAGCTGAGCCAGGACTCAGAGTGACCGAGTGTGACGCCCTGTCCTCCTCCTCTCGGTGTGAATAGCTGAGCCAGGACTCAGAGTGACCGAGTGTGACGCCCTGTCCTCCTCCTCTCGGTGTGAATAGCTGAGCCAGGACTCAGAGTGACCGAGTGTGACGCCCTGTCCTCCTCCTCTCGGTGTGAATAGCTGAGCCAGGACTCAGAGTGACCGAGTGTGACGCCCTGTCCTCCTCCTCTCGGTGTGAATAGCTGAGCCAGGACTCAGAGTGACCGAGTGTGACGCCCTGTCCTCCTCCTCTCGGTGTGAATAGCTGAGCCAGGACTCAGAGTGACCGAGTGTGACGCCCTGTCCTCCTCCTCTCGGTGTGAATAGCTGAGCCAGGACTCAGAGTGACCGAGTGTGACGCCCTGTCCTCCTCCTCTCGGTGTGAATAGCTGAGCCAGGACTCAGAGTGACCGAGTGTGACGCCCTGTCCTCCTCCTCTCGGTGTGAATAGCTGAGCCAGGACTCAGAGTGACCGAGTGTGACGCCCTGTCCTCCTCCTCTCGGTGTGAATAGCTGAGCCAGGACTCAGAGTGACCGAGTGTGACGCCCTGTCCTCCTCCTCTCGGTGTGAATAGCTGAGCCAGGACTCAGAGTGACCGAGTGTGACGCCCTGTCCTCCTCCTCTCGGTGTGAATAGCTGAGCCAGGACTCAGAGTGACCGAGTGTGACGCCCTGTCCTCCTCCTCTCGGTGTGAATAGCTGAGCCAGGACTCAGAGTGACCGAGTGTGACGCCCTGTCCTCCTCCTCTCGGTGTGAATAGCTGAGCCAGGACTCAGAGTGACCGAGTGTGACGCCCTGTCCTCCTCCTCTCGGTGTGAATAGCTGGAGTCAGGACTTAGAGGCTCCGAATGTGATACCGTTTCTGTCTTCCTCCTCTCAGTGCCATGGCTTGGGGTGGATACTGCTTCACACTCCTTCAGGGTGGCCCAGACACAGTAGGTTTCATTTTCCTTTTTTTTTTTCTTTTCTCTGGTGGCTACAAAAGTGAACTTTTTTTCTTTTTTTTCTTTTTCTTTTTTTCTTGAGACAGAGTTTCGCTCTTGTTGCCCAGGCTGGAGTGCAATGGCGTGATCTCGGCTCACCGCAACCTCTGCCTCCTGGGTTCAAGGGATTCTTCTGCCTCAGCCTCCTGAGTAGCTGGGAATACAGGCATGTGCCACCACGCCTGGCTAATTTTTGTATTTTTAGTAGAGATGGGGTTTCTTCATGTTGGTCAGGCTGGTCTTGAACTCCCAGCCTCACGTGATCCGCCCACCTCAGCCTCCCAAAGAGCTGGGATTATAGGCGGGAGCCATGGCACTCGGCCCTATTTTGTCCGTTTTCTTGAGACATCTTAAATGAACATATAGCTTCAGGAAGCCATGGTAGCAGACAGGACCACAGTGCTTTCCGTGATGTGGCCGTCTCCTAGAGTCCAGCAGACCGGACCTTCGCAAGAAAAACTGCTGAGGAGATGGAGAAGGAAAGGCCAAAAGCCTGGTATTCACTCCAGAGGCAGTCGCTGAGGAGATGGAGGAAGGGTCAAAAGCCTGATATTCACTTCAGAGGCAGTCGCTGAGGAGTTGGAGGAGGAAAGGCCAAAAGCCTGATTTATCAGTCCAGAGGCAGTCGCTGAGGAGATGGAGGAGGAAAGGCCAAAAGCTTCGTATTCATTCCACAGGCAGTTGCTGAGGCGATTTGAGGAGGAAAGGCCAAAAGCCTGGTATTCACACCAGAGGCAGTTGCTGAGGAGATGGAGGAGGAAAGGCCAAAAGCCTGGTATTGACTCCAGAGGCAGTCTTTTGTTGTTGTTGTTGAGTCTCACTCTGTCACCCAGGCTGGAGTGCAGTGGCAGAATCTCGGCTCACTGCAACCTCCGCCTCCCGGGTGCAAGCGATTGTCCTGCTTCAGTCTCCCAAGTGGCTGGAATTACAGGCACGCGCCACCACGTCTGGCTAATTTTTGTATTTTTAGTTGAGATGGAGTTTCGCCGTTATTAGCCAGGCTGGTTTTGAACTCCTGCGTTCAGGTGATCCACCCTCCTTGGCCTCCCAAAGTGCTGGGATTACAGACGTAAGCCACCGTGCTCAACTAGGTTTTGTGTTTTTTATAGAGACAGCATCTTGTTTTGTTGCCGAGGCTGGTCCTGAACACGTGGTCTCAAGATATTCGCCCAGTCAGCCTCCCAGAGTGCTGGGACTCTAGGCGTGAGCCCCTGCTTCTGGCCCCCAGGCCAGTAGTAAAAAGCCAAATATCATCCCTTTCAGAGCATCAGGACAGCGGTTGTGCTCAGGGAGGCTGGGAATGGGCATCGTGCCCTCTGGGGGTGCGGCAGGGTCAGTTGGCTGGAGGATATTCATGGTGCTGCTGCCCCCTGCTGCCGTGCTGAGGGCTGACATGGTGAACAGTCATGGGCACTTGCAGACGTGGTTGTGCCCAGTGCTGTGTGCATGCAGCCGTTCCAGCAAAGGTGGTGGTCACTTGGACCATTGTGGTGCCATCATGGTACAGCACCCAGGCAGGAGCAAGGCCGTTGTGTTCTGGTGAGATGATGGTTCTGAATTAGATGTGGAGATTTCTTTGAGATCAGCTCCACAGGTATCTTACGAGGGCTCGGGGGTGAGGCTCAGAAGTCCTACAAGGAGGGGCCTCAACCTGTGTCCCTTCACCTGCAGCAACAGCAACGCGGAGCAACCTCCAGGAGCCTGGGGGGCGCCTGGGCTGGGCGGGAGTCGGAGGTCGGCGAGGGGAGGAAGGTGGTCGCATGTTGGCGTCCTCCTGCCCTGTAGGAAGTACTGAATGGTTCCCCACAACAGTAGGATGAAAATGAGTTTCTGTTCCCTGATCCCACGCCACTGCAGAATGGGAGGAAGGCTTTATGCCGGGGTGTCCAATCTTTTCTCTTCCCTGGGCCACACTGCAAGAAGAGGAATTGGGCCACACATTAAAAATCTCATAATTTTTTTTTGTTTTATGAGACGGAATCTTGCTCTGTTGCCCAGGCTGGAGTGCAGTGGCGCGATCTCAGCTCACCACACACAACCTCTGCCTCCCGGGATCAAGCGATTCTCTTGCTTCAGCCTCTCGAGTAGCTGGGATTACAGGTGCGCACTACTGCGCCCAGCTAGTTTTTGTATTTTGCCATGTTGGCCAGGCTGGTCTTGAACTCCTGACCTCAGGTGATCCGCCCACCTCGGCCTCTCAAAGTGTTGGGATTATAGGCATGAGCCACCGCGCCCGGCCCATAATGTTTTAAGAAAGTTTACGAATGTGTGTTGGGCCTCATGCAAAGCCATCCTGGGCTGCATGCAGCCCGCGGGCTGTGGGTTGGACAAGCTTGCTTTGTGCCATTAAATTGTTATTTGTAATTAGTGCTGGAAAGTCAGGGTTTGAGAGGCAGACACTGCTGTCTCTGAATGGAAAGGTCCACGTGTGGGAATGAGGAAGCCTTGCTCATGAGCACCCTGACAGAGCACCCATGCCTCCAGCAGTGGGAGGGCAGGCGTGACGCTGCCGATTCCACATTGTATCTGGAATGTTTGTTTTGGAGATGGAGTTTCGCTCTTGTTGCCCAGGCTGGAGTGCAGTGGTGCGATCTCAGCTCACTGCAACCTGTGCCTCCCAGGTTCAAGCGATTCTTCTGCCTCAGCCTCCCGAGTAGCTGGGGTTACAGGCGCTTGCCACCACGCCTGGCTAATTTTTGTATTTTTAGTAGACGCGGTATTTCACCATGTTGGCCAGGCTGGTGTTGAACCCCTGACCTCCGGTGATCCACCTGTCTCGGCCTTCCAAAGTGCTGGGATTACAGGCATGAGCCTCGGTGCCTGGCCTTTTATCTGGAATTTAAAAAAAAAAAAAATCAAATGTAGCCCAGCTGAAGCTATTAAGGGGATTGTTGCCAGCTTTAACCATGGGAAATCTGCATTCGTGTGTATGTAATGAGCTCTGCAGAGATTCAACAAGGCAGAAAAGCAGATGCCCTTGGCTGTCAAGGGCACAGTGTCCAGTGGAAGCCAGCCGAGTGGCTGCAGGGTCTTGGACTCACTGCCCTGGCCCCGGCTTGTTGTTGGCCATGCTGCCCTGAGCGCAAACCCCATTCCTCTAGCCTGTCCCCGTTTCTAGTAGCTCGCTCTCAGGCTTTCTCCAGTCTCCCTAACTTCCTTTTAAAGTGTTAAATATAGTACAGCACAGAAGGGTATGAAAGGGAGAAGAATACGTAAGTTGGACAGTAACAATGTCCTTGACTCCTAGGAAGCTCAGAAATAGGTCTGTGCTGTGCCTGGATGGTGCCTCCGTGCCTGGGGATCTGGAAGGGTGGAGACAGACCCCAGAGCAGCCGCTTCCCTGCGGGGGCCTCTCCCAACACCGTAAGGCCGCGGGTGCCTCAAGCAGCGCCGAGAGGGGCTTGTGTTTCAGTGACATTTCCTTGAAGTCCAGGTATGGGGTTTCTGTAAATGAAGGCTTTTGCCTGCCTTGTTCTCCAGTGTCAGCCTAACACTCACGTGAGCCAAATAGGCCCGGCCAGACCCAAGACAGCTCAGTCACCTGTTCCGCATCAAACATCAGATTCCAGAGCCGGACTGGACCAACGTCCTGCCGTGGCCCAGTGAGCGAGGGTTGCTGGCGTCTTTGGGATACTCGGGAGCAGCCCGCCATCCCCGTGTCCCCAGGGAACTCTTCAGAGCACCCCCCAGCAGCGTGGAAGCCCCCGGAAATGCAGGCTTGGAGTCCCCCGAGGGAGCCAGGGGTGTTGTGGTGGGAGGGGCGGCCAGGTGCCCGGGACGGGGTGAGGCGGCGCCGGCGGGGCAGCCTGGGAAAAGCACAGAGGTGGCTTTGCAGTCCCACTTCAGGGGGACCCTGCCTGACCTGGGATGAGGTGTGTGGGCTTTCTGGGGCAGGGGCGGGGACAGGTTGTAAATCTGAATTTGTCTGATGCTTCCTCAGAGATCTGTATCATGGTCATTTCATAGAAACGGCAAACTCTGTCCCAGCTCAAAAAGATGCTATTAGACTAATCCTTTGATCTCTTTACGTGTGCGGCTCAGCGTTCAGATAAACCTGCTTGATGTTTTGAGGGTTTTCTCTTATTTCCGTTGCTTCCTCGAGGGAGAGTAATCCAGTCTAATTTGCATTTCTCTTACTTTTAAGCTGAGCTGCTGCGCCCTCACGGGACACAGTCATGGGGAGCCCTCTGCCCCATGGTGGGCATTGGTGAAGCCACAGTGGTCCCGGGGGCAGACCTCAAGGGTGCACAGCAGCAGCCCCTTGGGCCCTGCCTGCCCAAGCCCCACCTGGCCCCACCTGCCCTGTGTTGGGGACTTTGTATTTCAGCCTCCATGCAGGGTGACGCTGGGACTCCCCAGCTTCCGGTTCACGGCTTCAGGGTCCAGCAGGTTCTCCTGAAGCCCCATCTACCGCTGGCTTCCTGCTCACTCTCCCCTCTCCCGCTCTGTCTCTCCAGAGGAGGCCGGGCCTGTGGAATTAGGCGGCTGCTTCACCTGAACTCACTGCAGTGCCGGGAAAGGAGCCTCTGGAACTAGACCCAGGAGCGGATCTGCAAAGGCTACTCAGGGTTCTCCCAGCGGCTCTGAACCCCGAGGCCAACTCGCCCTCCAATCACCTGGCCCCTGAAGCAGGCGGAGGCCCCTGTGCACAGTGGGCCTGTGGCCCCATTTGGTTCAGGAGTGATGGTGACACGGAGTTGGCTCCATCGAGGCTCCTGGCAGCATTACATCCTCTAAGAATAAGTCATAAAGAAAGCACTCCTTGTAAGATACACGATCCACCAGGCTGCCTCCAACCACAGCCTCATCTCCATCCGGGGTGTGTCTAGGTTTTCTTTTTTATTATTATTTTTTATCATTTGAGACATGTTCTCCCTCTGTCACCCAGGCTGGAGTGCACTGGTGTGACCTCAGCTCACTGCAACCTCCACCTCCCAGGCTCAAGCAATCCTCCCACCTCAGCCTCTCTGGTAGCTAAGAGGTGCATACCACCATGCCCAGCTAATTTTTTTTTTTTTTTTTTTTGTAGAGACAGGGTTTTGCCATGTCACCTAGGCTGGCCTTAAACTCTTGGGCTCAAGCGATGCTCCCGCCTCGGCCTCCCAAAGTGCTGGGATTACAGGTGTAGCCACCATGCCTGGCCAGTATCTAGGTTTTCAAGTTAGACTTAGTTTTATTTGCAGAAAGAATAATGAATACATTATTAACTTATTCTTTGATAGTTAGAAATTAATAGGCATTTTATATGTGATCTTATGGTCTTACTCTTGGTTGGCTGTTTCTGAAGGAGTGGCTTTGTTATCTGTAATTTGTCTAATTTAAAAATCAATTATAATGAAACCAGCATATGTGATTCACAAGGCTTTTTTCCACCTGGACCAGAGTACACCAGCTATTGCATTGCCAAAAGTAGGTGTGTTCCTGTTGTGTGATGTGCAGATGGGGGGCCCCTGCAGCAGGGAAGGCAGGCCAGGAAACCCCTTCGCAGTCTCTGCTGAGGGGCTGGACCCGCTGCTTGGGCGGGACTCCCTGCAGGGTGCTCTGCTGCAGTCTCCTCCTCTGCCCGCCTGCGGCCCAGAGAACTCTGAATGCTAATGGCAATGCCAGCTGCTTGGCAGCATGAGCTTCTTGGGGCGCCTGGGCAGGCCTGGGCACTTCTGCCCTTTGTGCCATCCGCAGTCCTGTGATTTCCTGACAGTTTCCTGAAAGCGCAGAATGGGACTTGTCGATGTCCTTGGCCGCAGAAATGCGGTGTCTTGTCCTAACCTTCTGCAACGCACACACACCTCTTCCGCAGTAATGAATGGTTTTTTGTTTTTGTTTTTGAGACAGAGTCTAGCTCTGTCACCCAGGCTGGAGTGCAGTGGCGCGTTCTCGGCTCACTGCAAGCTCCACCTCCTGGGTTCATGCCATTCTCCTGCCTTAGCCTCGCGAGTAGCCGGGAGTACAGGCACCCGCCAACACGCCTGGCTAATTTTTTTGTATTTTTAGTAGAGACAGGGTTTCACCGTGTTAGCCAGGATGGTCTCGATCTCCTGACCTCGTGATCCGCCTGCCTCGGCCTCCCAAAGTGCTGGGATTACAGGCGTGAGCCACCGTGCCCGGCTAATGAATGGTTATTTTAAAAAATAAACGTATTTCGGGATAATTTTAGGTTTACAGAAAAGTTGCAAAGTGAGCGCAGAGGGTCCCTTCTGCCACTCTGCAGCCTCCCCTCTGTAACTTCAAAGCCCACAGGGCATGGCTGTTGTAGCTGAGAAACCGTCGCTGGGTGTCCCTGTGAACTCCGGACTTTGAATTTCACTATCAATGTCCTGTTTCTGCTCTAGGACCTTGTCCCCGCTGCCACCTGTGGGAGACAGCCTCCCGTGCACCATTTGCCCAGCACCCTCAGGCCTGTGACGGTCTCTCAGTCTTTCCTTGTCTTCCATGCCCTGCAGTTCTGAGAGGGCCTGGCCAGGCAGTTTGTCCAGGTGCCCCGATCCAGGCTTGTCTTGTGCTTTCTCGTGGGGGTGGACGACAGGTTTCAGGGAGGGGTGCTGCCGCCTGTCTCACCCCACTGTGGCGTCCCTGACATCCAAGTGACATTACAGACAGCTCTGACCTTCCTCACCAGAGTCAGGTGTCTGTAGGTGTCTCCTTGGTGACAGGACTGCTTCTCCCTTTGCACATTTAGTCAGGCAGCAAGTCCACGGCCGTGGGGGGGCTTCTCCTAGACGGGAGGATCTGGAATAGCTTGGACTTGTATTTATTTATTTGATCATTTGTTTGTATCCGGATGGGCTCACTTTATATGTGTTTTAAACTCTGAGCTAGAAGGCAACACTACTTTCTTGTGAAGCACACCATCTGTCCTTGGCCCTAGGGAGCTCCTGCCGTCGGCTCCTGGGTCCCCTGATGCACCCCTTTCAACAGACTTTTCATTTTGGGGTACGTCCTGACTTCCTGGCACTGCAGGGTGCTCCAGCCTCCTCTTGCATTCCCTGCCCTGGCCCGGGAATCAGCCCCTTCTCCAAGGAGCCCCGGGTCCTTTTATTGGCAAGTCTTAAGAGAGTGAGGCCTGGGTGCCAGGCAGGGAGCCCCAGGTCCTTTTATTGGGAAGTCTTAGAGAGTGAGGCCTGGGTGCCAGGTGGGTGCCAGGTGGGTCCGGTGCTGCTGGGATGTTGTCACGTGGAGGCCCTCAGCTGCAGAGCAGGGACGAGGGTGTCACCTGTTCAGCTGCAGAGCAGGGATGAGGGTGTCACCTGTGTGTATGAACATCTCCGCAGCCACTTCTGTATCTGTGAAGAGAACATGAGTTCATGCTACTGCCTCTGACTCTAATTCAGACCCCAAAGCTCCTTCTAACCTTCCTAGAACGTTATTTTTCAGTTTAAAAAAAAAAAAAAGTTTTGCAAAGGGCATACCGTGAAAGGCCCAAGTGGTTGAAAGTCCCAGCTGAGGCTGAAGAGGCGCCTGCGAGGCAACAGGACAGGCTTCCCGTTCAGTTCAGGGGTGCTGTCCTCCAGGAACTATGCTGGGGGGCAAGTACAGGACGTCCTGGTGTGTGGTGCACAGGGACTGCTGGACACGGAGACCCGTGCCCTTCTCAGCGTGGGGGCCGCTCCCCGGGACAGTGACCACGCTCCCGCCAGCCTCCCACCCCACCTGACCTCTGTCTGTGAGGGGCTGGACCAGGGTCCTGCCTGGCCCGGCCATCCACAGAGCAACCCAGAATGTTAATAAAGCCTACAGAAGCTGTGTTCTCCTTCGAGAAGCTTCTCTGTGGTTACAGACTTTTTAAGAAATATTTTGTCGGCTGGGCTTGGTGGCTCATGCCTGTAATCCCAGCATTTTGGGAGGCCAAGGCAGGCGGATCACCTGAGGTCAGGAGTTTCCGAGACCAGCCTGGCCAACAGGGCAAAACCCCGTCTCTACTAAAAATACAAAAATTAGCCAGGCATGGTGGCAAGCGCCTATAATCCCAGCTACTTGAGAGGCTAAGGTGGAAGCATTGCTCGAATCTGGAAGGTGGTGGTTGCAATGAGCTGAGATCGTGCCACTGCACTCCAGGCTGGGCGACAGAGCGAGACTCCATCTCAAAAAAAAAAAAAAAGTTTGTCATTTAAAGTAGAGGCACAGGCCAGGCGCGGTGGCTCATGCCTGTAATCCCAGCACTTTGGGGGGCCGACTCAGGTGGATCATTTGAGGTCAGGAGCTCGAGACCAGCCTGACCAATATGGTGAAACCCCATCTGTACTAAAAATACAAAAAAATTAGCCAGGCGTGGTGGTCCGTGCCTGTAGTCCCAGCTGTGGGGAGGCTGAGGCACAAGAATCACTTAAACCCAGGAGGTGGAGGTTGCAGTGAGCCGAGATTGCGCCACTACACTCCAGCCTGGGCGACAGAGTGAGACTCCATCTCAAAAAAATAATAATAAATAAATAAAGTAGAGGCAGGGGGCAACCTAAATTAGCACCAAAATTCCTCCTAATGCTCCTGTTTTCTGAAGTGAGTGACTGAATGTCGGAGCTCTGAATGTCTTACAACTGGAAAAATGTTAAAGATCACGTTTGCGAAGGAGGGAGGCAAGCATCAGAACAGAACCTCGGAGCAGGTCTGCACGCGTGCAGGGGCCGTGGGGCCGCGCTGGAGTCGTTTCCTGTGCTGCTCTGTGCTGCTCACAGACGCTGCCACTCACCCACTGGCCACGGCCCCTCCCGCAGCGCCTGCGGATGATCTGGGCGCATAGCGGGCGTGCAGGTCGCGGCGCCAAGGCCTCTCCTAGGCCCAGTGGTCTTCTCCGTCTCAGAGAGCATTGACGGCGGAGCTCACAACTGTCAAGCACCTTAGTCATGCCGCAAACATTAATCATTGACAGCATGTTGACCTATGCGCTGATTAAAAAGAAAAGCTCCAATAATGTAATTCCAGGAGAAAGTACACAAACCTCTGGTGGCATCTTTTCAATCCACCACAGAAACCAGCTCAGGTGGGGCCGTGGGGGTGTTGGCTGGGGCACCGCCGCAGCAGTTTGGGACACATGCCTGCCACGGTGCGCCCAGGCTGATGCCCACAGCCCTGCTCAGGAGTGTTGGGAGCGGTGGACTCCTGAGTTTGATTTTCTGTGCTGGCCTGGCTGGAGTGAAGCTCCTTGGAGTTTGGAGAAAGATTTCCATGCTGATTTCCCTTTGTTTTTGTTTGTTTGTTTGTTTGTTTGTTTTGGAGACAGTCTTGCTCTGTCGCCCAGGCTGGAGTGCAATGGTACAATCTCGGGGTTTCACCGTGTTAGCCAGGATGGTCTCGATCTCCTAACTTCGTGATCCGCCCACCTCAGCCTCCTAAAGTGCTGGGATTACAGGCATGAGCCACTGCATCCGGCCCTGATTTCCCTTTTTTTTTGAGATGGGAGTCTCGCTCTGTCACCCAGGCTGGAGTGCAGTAGTGCAATCTCGGTTCACTGCAACCTCCGCCTCCTGGGTGCAAGCTATTCTCCCACCTCAGCCTCCCAGGTAGCTGGGATTACAGGTGGCCACCACCACACCCAGCTAATTTTTGTATTTTTAGTAGAGACTGGGTTTCGCAACGTTGCCTGTGCTGAACTCCTGACCTCAGGTGATCCACCCGCCTCGGCTGCCCAAAGTCCTGGGATTACAGGTATGAGCCGCTGCTCCCGGCCCATACTGGTCTTCCAGTGAATGAATGTAGGGGGCAAACTGCACTGAGGCCAGGAAAGAGCTGATTCTGGAGGTGACAAGAACGTTCTGAGCAGCACTGGGGCAGAGGCGCAGTCAAGAGTCCAATGGGAGCTGGGCGCAGTGGCTCACGCCTGTAATCCCAGCACTTTGGGAGGCCGAGGCAGGTGGATCACGAGGTCAGAGGTTCAAGACCAGCCTGACCAACATGGTGAAACCCTGTCTCTACTAAAAATACACAAATTAGCTGGGCGTGGTGTCAGGCACCTATCATCCCAGACTCAGGAGGCTGAGACAGGAGAATTGCTTGAACCCAGGAGGCGGAAGTTGCAGTGAGCTGAGATCGCGCCACGGCACTCCAGCCTGGGCGACAGAGTGAGACTCCATCTCAAAAAAAAAAAAAAAAAAAAAGGGGGTCCAATGGGGGGAACTTGGGGCCTCCTGCCTGCACCTGCCTCTGTCCCCGGTGTCTCAGGGGCTCTCCATGGCCACGTCACTGACTGGCCTGTTGTGTCCTTCTTGCAGCAGTCCTGCGTTAACTGCGGCCGGGAGGCTATGAGCGAGTGCACCGGCTGCCACAAGGTCAACTACTGCTCCACCTTCTGCCAACGCAAGGTAGGTCTCACCTACACCAGGCTCAGTGCCCCCGCCTCCTCCCTCGCTACGAAGACCCCTGGGTGGCCCTCCCTCCCCTTGTGCTCCTGGTGCCACACCTGACTCCCCTCCCTGTCCCTCCCTCTGGGAATCCGGGGCTCCTGCCTGGCTCCGTGAAGACCCTGCAGAAGGCTCACATGTGACATGGCCAGGTAGTGCTCTCATGTGAGGCCCCACAGTTGGTGGCCGGAAACCCTGAGGGCTGCTGGTCAGTGCTTCCCAGCCCTCCACACCCCTGCACAGCCACGCAAGAGAGACTGTCCACAGTTCCATTATTGAGCCCTCCACACCCCTGCAGAGCCACGTGAGAGAGACTGTCCACAGTTCCTCTATTATTCAGCCCTCCACACCCCTGCAGAGCCACGCAAGAGAGACTGTCCACAGTTCCTCTATTATTGAGCCCTCCACACCCCTGCAGAGCCACGCGAGAGAGACTGTCCACAGTTCTTCTATTATTGAGCCCTCCACACCCCTGCAGAGCCACGCGAGAGAGACTGTCCACAGTTCCTCTATTATTGAGCCCTCCACACCCCTGCAGAGCCACGCGAGAGAGAGCGTCCACAGTTCCTCTATTATTGAGCCCTCCACACCCCTGCAGAGCCACGCGAGAGAGAGACTGTCCACAGTTCCTCTATTATTGAGCCCTCCACACCCCTGCAGAGCCACGCGAGAGACAGCGTCCACAGTTCCTCTATTATTCAGCCCTCCGCTCCACAGAAATTCAAGAGAAATTTTGTAGGCTACAAACGGTAGTTCAGGATTGTATAACTTTGTCTACCATAATCAGAGTACTCGGGAGCATTTAGTCACTCTTTTTTTTTTTTTTTTTTTTTTTTTTGAGACAGAGTCTCATTCTGTCACCCAGGCTGGAGTGCAGTGGTGCGATCTTGGCTCGCTGCAACCTCTGCCTCCCGGGTTCAAGCGATTCTCCTGCCTCAGCCTCCCGAGTAGCTGGGATTACAGG
This sequence comes from Homo sapiens, assembly GCF_000001405.40. Classification (NCBI taxonomy): domain Eukaryota; kingdom Metazoa; phylum Chordata; class Mammalia; order Primates; family Hominidae; genus Homo; species Homo sapiens. Next base: position 184,714 of record NT_187586.1, on the reverse strand, counting down.
CATGCGCCACCATACCTGGCTAATTTTTGTATTTTTAGTAGAGACGGGGTCTCACCACGTTGGGCAAGCTGGTCTCGAACTCCTGACCTCAGGTGATCCACCCACCTTGGCCTCCCAAAGTGCTGGGATTTAGAGGTGTGAGCTACTGTTCCCAGCAGCTTTACTAATCTTTTTGATGGTTTTTTTTTCTCATATTTATGAGAGATGCTGGTCTATATTTTGTCCTGTGATGTCTTTGTTTCATGTTGGTGTCAGAGCAACACTGGCCTTTCAGATCAATTGGGAAGTGTGCCCTTCTGCCCTCCTTCTCTATTTTCTTTTTGAGACAGTTTTGCTCTGTAGCCCAGGCTGGAGTGCAGTGGCAAGATCTCGGCTCACTGCAACCTCTGCCTCCCGGGTTCAAGTGATTCTCCTACCTCAGCCTCCCGAGTAGCTGGGATTACAGGCATGCACCTCCACCCCCGGCTAATTTTTATGTTTTTAGTAGAGACAGGGTTTCACCATGTTGCCCAGGCTGGTCTCAAACTTCTGGCCTCAAGTGATCTGCCTGCCTCGGCCTCCCAAATTGCTGGGATTGCAAGTGTGAGCCACGGCACCCAGCCTGTGTTTCATCTTTATTCAGTTCGAATATTTTATGCAGTTGAAAATATTTGCCGTGTGATTTTTTTCTGTGACCTATGAGTTATTTGGAAGTGTGTGCTGGATTCAGGAGTAGATCTAAAAAAGAAGTATGCTAATTTCAAATATTTCTGGATTTCTTAAATGTACCTTTATAATTAATTTCTACTTTAATTACATTGTGGTTCAAGAACATACTTAGTGTTTTTCAGTACCTTTAAATTTATTGAGATTTGTGTTAGGGCCTAGCGTATGGTCTTATCATGGAGAGTGTTGCTTGTATATTCTGCTCTGTTGGGTGGAGTATTAGATATCAGTTAGGTTGGTTGATAGTATTGTTCAACTCTTTCATATTCTCACTGATTTTCTCTATTTGTTCTACCCCTTATTTAGAGTGAAGTGTTGAACTCTCCAGCTATTACTGTTGAATTATCTGGTTTTTGTTTTTGTTTTTGAGACGGAGTCTCGCTCTGTCGCCCAGGCTGGAGTGTAGTGGCGCCATCTCAGCTCACCGCAAGCTCCGCCTCCCAGGTTCACGCCATTCTCCTGCCTCAGCCTCCCGAGTAGCTGGCACCACAGGCACCCGCCACCACGCCCGGCTGATTTTTTGTATTTTTAGTAGAGACAGGGTTTCACTGTGTTAGCCAGGATGGTCTCGATCTCCTGACCTTGTGATCTGCCCTCCTCAGTCTCCTTTCAAAGTGCTGGGATTACAGGCGTGAGCCACCGTGCCCAGCTGAATTATCTGTTTTTATCTGCCATTATGCCTGTTTTTGCTTCATTTATTTTGGGTCTCTGTTGTTAGGTGCATGTATGTTTAGTTTATAATTATCATTCCTGATGAATTAGCTCTTTTATCATTATAAAACATCCTTCTTTGTCTCAATAAGTTTTTTATTTTTTATTTAATTTTTTTTTTTTTTTTCTTACAGAGATGGAGTCTTACTATGTTGACCAGCCTGGTCTCCATCTCCTGGCTTCGGGCGATCCTCCCATGTCAGCCTCCCAAAGTGCTAGGATTATAGGCATGAGGCACTACACCAGCCAACAGAAGTTTTTATATTAAAATTTACTTTTTCTAGCTGGGCACAGTGGCTCACGCCTGTCATCCCAGCACTTTGGGAGGCTGAGGCAGGTGGATCACCGGTCGGGAGTTTGAGACCAGCTTGGCTAACATGGTAAGACCCCATCTCTACTAAAAACACAAAAATTAGCCAGGCGTGGTGGCGCGTGCCTGTAATCCCAGCTACTAGCGGGGCTGAGGCAGGAGGATTGCTTGAACCTGGGAGGCGGAGGTTGCAGTAAGCCAAGATCACTCCACTGCACTCTAGTCTGGGCAACAGAGCGAGACTCCATCTCAAAAAAAAAAAATTACCTTTTCTGATAGTAGCATAGACACTCCACCTGTCTTATGGTGAATGTTTGCATCTTTTACTTTTGAGACAGAGTCTCACTCTGTCACCCAGACTGGAGCGCAGTGGCATGATCTTGACTCACGGCAGCCTCTACAGATACACGCCCCACGCCCAGCTAATTCTTTGTATTTTTAGTTGAGACGGGGTTTCGCCATTTTGCCCAGGCTGGTCTCGACCCCTTGGACTCAAGTGTTCCACCCCCGCTTGGCCTCCCAAAGTGCTGGGATGACAGGCATGAGTCACTGCGCCCAGCCTGCATCTTTTTAAAAAAAACCTTTTTGGCTGGGTGCAGTGGCCCACACCAGTCATCCCAACACTTTGGGAGGCCAAGAGGGGAGGATCTCTTGAGCCCAGGGCCAGCCTGGCCAACAAAGCGAGACCCTGTTTCTATTTTTTAATTAAATAAACATATAAATAAACAAACATCTTGTTACTTCTAATTTTGTGTCCTTGGCTCTTAAGCATTCCCTTAGAGACAGAATGTGGTTGGATCTTAGGTTTTAATCTAGTCTGATAGTCTCTGCCTTTTTTTTTTTTTTTTTTTTTTTTTTGAGACGGACTGTCACTCTGTCCCCCAGGCTGGAATGCAGTGGCTCCATCTCCACTCACTGCAACCTCCATCTCCTGGGTTCAAGTGATTCTCATAGCTCAGCCTCCCAAGTAGCTGGGATTACAGGCTCCTGCCACCACACTCAGCTAATTTTTGTATTTTTAATAGAGACGGGTTTCACCATGTTGGCCAGGCTGGTCTCAAACTCCTGACCTCAAGAGATTCACCCGCCTCAGCCTCCCAAAGTGGTGGGATTACAGGTGTGAACCACCACACTAGTCTCTGCCTTTTGATTGGAGTGTTTAATCTACTTTTTTGTTTTGTTTTTGTTTTTGTTTTTTAGACAATCTCACTCTGTCGCCAGGCTGGAGTGCAATGGCACGATCTCAGCCCACTGCAACCTCAACGTCCCGGGTTCAAGTGATTTCCCTTCCTCAGCCTCCTGAGTAGCTGGGATTATAGGCATGAGCCACCACGTCCAACTAATTTTTGTGTTTTTAGTAGAGATGGGGTTTCTCCGTGTTGGCAAGGCTGGTCTCGAACTCCTGACCTCAGGTGATCCACTCGCCTCAGCCTCCCAAAGTTCTAAGATTACAGGTGTGAGCCACCGCACTGGAACTCGGCCTGTTTTGTTTTTTGAATTGAGACAGAGTATCACTTTGTTGCCCAGGCTGGAGTGCACTGGCGTAATCTCGGCTCACTGCAGCCTCCACCTCCTGGGTTTAAGGGATTCTCGTGCCTCATTCTCCCGAGTAACTGGGACTGCAGGAGTGTGCCATCAGACCCGGCTAATTTTTGTACTTTTAGTAGACACAGGGTTTCACCATGTTGGTCAGGCTGGTCTTGAGCTCCTGACCTCAAGTGATCCGCCCGCCTCGGCCTCCCAAACTGCTGGGATTATAGGTGTGAGCCACCACACCCAGCTGTTTTTTTTTTTTAAGTGGGGTCTCTCTCTGTCACCCAGGCCAGAGTGCAGTGGCACAATCTCAGCTCAGTGCAACCTCCGCTTCCCGGGTTCAAGCAATACTCCTCCTTCAGCCTCCCAAGTAACTGGGATTACAGGCACCCGCCACCATGCCCGTTTTTGTTGTTGTTGTTGTGTGTGTGTGTGATGGAGTCTCGCACGGTTGCCCAGGCTAGAGTGCAGTGGCGCAATCTCGGCTCACTGCAGCCTCTGCCTCCCGGGTTCAAGCGATTCTCCTGCCTCAGCCTCCCAAGTAGTTGGGATTACAGGCATGCACCACCATGCCAGGCTAATTTTTGTATTTTTCGTAGAGAGAGGGTTTTGCCATGTTGGCCAGGCTGGTCTTGAACTCCTGGGCTCAAGTAACCCTCCCACCTTGGCCTCCCAAAGTGCTGGGATTATAGGCATGAGCCACTGCGCAAAACCTAATCTCATGTTTAATGTAATTATCAATGTGAGTGGATTTGTGTTTATATTTGCAGTTTATGTTTCATGTTTTGCTCCTCTGTTCTTTCACTGCCTTCTTTTCTGTTAAATGTGTATTTTCTAGTTGTGTTTTCTAGTGTACCACTTCAATTCTTTTGTTGAACATTTTTAAACAGTATCTTTAAAGTTGTTATTTTCTTACTGCTATAGGTATTACAATATACATTTTAATTTATCTCAGTTTCAGTAGGAGGATAGAATTTCCTCAAGCAGGGAAAGTGTACTGCAGAGGCTGAGTGTATACATTCCTGGCAAACACTATTTGGGCCCCAATATAAGCACTTACTGAGCTCCTTTCACCTACAGAACGAACACATCCCGTTCTTTTAAAAGCTGCCTTCCAGCCGGACCTCCAGCCCAGGACACCCTGTCCTCAAGCCTCCCTCAGATCCTGTTCTTTAAAAAGCTGCCTTCAGCTGGGCACGGTGGCTCACGCCTGTAATCCCAGCACTTTGGGAGGCCGAGGCGGGCGGATCACGAGGTCAGGAGATCGAGACCATCCTGGCTAACATGGTGAAACCCCGTCTCTACTAAAAATACAAAAAAATTAGCTTGGCGTGGTGGTGGGCGCCTGTAGTCCCAGGTACTCGGGAGGCTGAGGCAGGAGAATGGCATGAACCCGGGAGGCGGAGCTTGCAGTGAGCCGAGATCGTGCCAGAGCACTCCAGCCTGGGAGACAAAGGGAGACTCCGTCTCAAAAAAAAAAAAAAAAGGCAGTGATAATTTTAAAAATTAATTGTAGAGGACTTGGTATGTACACAAAAGTATACACGAGTTTATGCATGTTATGAAGCCCCAACAGGAATCCCCTGCTCCCAGCACCGCCTGGGTCAAGTCCACCCACCTGCTCCCAGCACCGCCTGGGTCAAGTCCACCCACCTGCTCCCAGCACCGCCTGGGTCAAGTCCACCCACCTGCTGCCAGCACCGCCTGGGTCAAGTCCACCCACCTGCTCCCAGCACCGCCTGGGTCAAGTCCACCCACCTGCTCCCAGCACTGCCTGGATTGAGTCACCTACGTGCTGTGGTGGCAACACTTTTCTTTTAATCCTTAACTTTGGAAAATGTGAGACGTGCACATGAGTTGGATCGCCCAGGAGAGGCCCGTCGCCCTCACCTGTATCAGCTGCTTTAGCGCCTGCCCTCCTGGCTTGTCCCCCTCTCTCTTTGGGCTGAGGGCTGAGCATTTTAAAGCAAGCCCCACGCATCATTATTTTCATTTGTGAGGCCTGGATCACTGTAAGTCAGATTTGGATTGTGTTTTAATTGGATTTTTAGTCACTGTTTTTATTTCATTACTTATTTTTGGTTTTTATTTGTTCGTTTGTTTTTGGTTTTGTTTCTGTTTTTGAGACAGGGTCTGGCTCTGTCACCCAGGCTGGAGTGCAGCGGCGCGATCTTGGCTCACTACAACCTCCACTTCCCAGGTTCAAGCGATTCTCCTGCCTCAGCCTCCCTAGTAGCTGGGGATTACAGGCACCCGCCACCACGTCCGGCTAATTTTTGTATTTTTAGCAGAGACGGGGTTTCACCATGTTGTTCAGGCTGGTCTTGAACTCCTGACCTCATGATCTGCCTGCCTTGGCCTCCCAAAGTGCTGAGATTACTGGCATGAGCCACCGTACCCAGCCTATTTTAGGTTTTCTATAGACAGGGTCTCGCTTTGTCACCCAGGCTGCAGTCCAGTGGTGCCATCACGGCTCACTACAGCCTTGATCTCCTGGCTCAAGTGATCCTCCTGCCTCTGTCTCCCAAGTAGCTTGGACCACAGGCATGAGCCACCACACCCAGCTAATTTTAAAACATTTTTTTTTTTATAGAGCTAGGGTTTTGCTATGTTGCTCAGGCTGGTCTCCAACCCCTGACCTCAAGTGACCTCGACCTCCCGAAGTCATTGTTTTTACAGTCTGTGATGTTGGCTTTTCTCATTTATTTGTATCAGGCACTTTCATTGTTAGCTTCTTGTGAATTTAACCATTTTTTTCCGTTTTTCAAAAACTGAAACGCTAACTTCTAATTCTGGCTTTTCAGATAATGATTTTTTTTTCAAAAGTGTTTTAGCATTATACTGTAAGAAGCATCACATTGATGTTTAAGATGGAAAAATTTGCTTTAAAAAAGAACTGAGTAGTTCTGATTTTAAAAGTCAACCCTGGGCCTTTGCCTCTTTGCTGGAAGAACCTGATGGAAGCTTCTGTAGCTCAGAGTCAACACTGATGTGCGCCCTCTCTCCCTCCATCTGCACAGGCCCCAGGGAGTGGCTCAAACCTGTAGACCAGAGAAGGAAGCATCTAGAACTCCTGGGGGCCTTGTCCGCCGCCCACATCCTCTCACGGGGGGCAGCTCCCATGAGGGGTGCAGGCCCCTCACCCCACACAGAGTCTCGGCAGGAACCGGAACCCTTCCTGGTTGCCCCAGAGTGGAGGCCCGGGAGGGGCGGGCGGTGGGTCTGCACCCGATGCTGCAGTTTGCTGATGTATGTGCTTTCATGCTATGTAGATTTATAGTCTATTACCAGGTAATTTTAATTTTTTTTTTTTTTTTTTTTTTTTGAGACGTAGTCTCACTCTGTTGCCCGGGCTGGAGTGCCGTGGCACAATCTTGGCTTACTGCAACCTCTGCCTCCCAGGTTCAAGTGATTCTTGTGCCTCAGCCTCCCAAGTAGCTGAGATTGCAGGTGCGCATGACCACAGGCGGCTAGTTTTTGTATTTTTAGTAGAGATGGGGTTTTGCCATGTTGGGCAGGCTGGTCTCGAGCTCCTGGCCTCAGGTGATCTGCCCACCTCGGCCTCCCAACATGATGGGATTACAGCCGTGAACCACTGCGCCCGGCCTAATTTTGCTCTTTTATTATAATCAGCTGGAATTCTGCTCTCTAGGGAATAACTCTGTCACCATTTGGAAGCATTTATTTCTGCTCTGTGTGTCATATACGTACCTATCACGCCCCCGTGCACGGAGCTGCCTCTGTCTGACGAGGCCGTCTCAGCTTCAGCACCTGGCGCTTCCTCTAGAGCTCTGCTCCATTCCGAGGTGCTCGACGTAGCAGGGAGGCAGAGCCTGGTTCTGTGTGCTGACCTCACAGGAGCTGTGGCTTCTCCCAGGCACCATCCCCCACCTCCTTTCTCTGCAGCCACGGGCTGGTTCCAGTTTGCTTTTTCATCTTTGCCATTAAAAACAGAACTGGGGCGGGGCGCAGTGGCTCACACCTGTCATCCCAGCACTTTGGGAGGCCAAGGCGGGCAGATCCCCTGAGGTCAGGAGTTCGAGACCAGCCTGACCAACATGGTGAAACCCTGTCTCTACTAAAAATGCAAAACATTAGCCAGGTGTGGTGGCGTGCACCTGTAATCCCAGCTGCTAGGGAGGCTGAGGCAAGAGAATTGCTTGAACCCAGGAGGCAGAGGTGGTGAGCCGAGATTGCGCGTTACACTCCAGCCTGGGAAACAAGAGCGAAACTCTGTCTGAAAAACAACAAAAAAACCCCCACAGAACTTGATCGTAATTTACATATGTAATATTTACATATTTAAATGTTTTTCTGCATGTGTGATATTTTTTGTTTACATCCCTAACACAAAACAACTGGTTTGGAGAGTCTTACCCTGGTTTGTTGTTTGACTTTTTTTTTTTTTTTTTTTTGATATGGAGTTGTTCTGTCACCCGGGCTGGAGTGCAGTGGCACCATCTCGGCTCCCTGCAACCTCTGCCTCCCAGGGCTGAGCAGTTCTCCTGCCTCAGCCTCGCGAGTAGCTGGGATTAGAGGTGCCTGCCACCATGCCCAGCTAATTTTTGTATTTTTAGTAGATACGGGGTTTCACCATGTTGGCCAGGCTGGTCTCGAACTCCTGACCTCAGGGGATCCACCCTCCTGGGCCTCCCAAAGTGTTGGGATTACAGGCGTGAGCCACCGTGCCCTGCCTGTTGTTTGCCTTTTGATCCAATTCCTCAAACCAAGAGAGTGTGGGGAAGGCTGTATTGGAGCAGAGCCCACCAGAGTTTGGGCGCACGGGGGCTGGGGAGGGCATTCTCAGCACCTCCAGGTGAGGTTACAGAGGGCTGCACCCTCTGGGGTCTGCCTTGGGGACCCTGCCCAGACCCTGCTCCACCCACTGACCCTGCTGACATGGGTGTGTCCTCCCTTCCAGGACTGGAAGGATCACCAGCACATATGCGGCCAGTCAGCAGCTGTCACCGTCCAGGCAGACGAAGTCCACGTGGCTGAAAGCGTGATGGAGAAGGTGACCGTGTGAGGCTCCATCGGCCGCCCTGGGAGCTGGGGCCCCTCGCACTCCTGTGAGGCTTTTGCAGGTCGAAGGCCCCCCTGAGGACTCTGGGGGGACGTTGAGAAGAGGGGTGTGGGAAGGTAAAGAAACTTGCTGGACAAGTCATTAACACACTTTAAGCGAATGGTGCCCTGGGAAGCGCACTCCCCCTGCCCGGGCCCCCTGCCCGCTCGCGGACAGATTTTTTATCCCTGGGATCATGAGCGTCCGGTCTTGCCCACAGGGCCTGTGCTGCGACGCACATACATACGTGTTGTGTCTGTCAATAAAGTGTAAATAAGGTCTCCCTGCCCCACACGGCCGGTTGCAGTGCCAGCCCTCGGGGGGGGGTTTCCTCCCCTTCCTCCTACTGCGCAGGTGGGAAAACCAAGCCCACCGCACCTCCAGTGCACGGGACAGCGCGGCCAGGCCGGAGCCTCCGGTGCACGGGGCAGCGCGGCCGGGCTGAAGCCCTGGCGTCTGGTGGCTCGTGTAGTCCAGGAGGTCTTCGTTCCTTCTGTTCCACGAGACCCTCGTGGCTGCTGGGAGGTGCAGCAGGCCTACGGCCCTTCCCGCCAGGTTTCGGGGCACATGGTGCCTCCTGTGCCCTGGCTGCTTGAGCAAGCCCGACGGTCCAGCACGGCCTGTTCAGTCCACGTGGACAGCTTGGTGGCCTCGGTCCAGGGATCCACACGCAGAGCCTCATGGCCTCCTGGTCTCCCCCTTGTTTCTCATGGCCCTGGCGCCAGGTGGAGGAGAGAGAAAGGGCTGAAGCCTGTGGGGGGCACAAGGGGGCGTGTCCAGCGTGTTTGGGCACTGGGCTGGGCCTGAACATGGGACCCCCCTGCCCTCCTGACCGAGAGCGCTGCTGGAGCAGCATCACTCTTGTTCTGGAAGCTTCTGCCCTCATGGCCTGTGTTCTCTGCACACAGAAGGCTCCATGGCTGTGGCTGCCTTGGGGCGAGAAAGTACAGACTCAGCAACAGCTCAGCAGGCACCTGGGGTAGGGTGGCAGCGCCAGGAGGAACCTGCACCAGTGATTCTGATGTTTGCCTCTGAAGCGCTTTCTGCACCAGCTGGAGCTGAGCCCGAGAGGTGGCCAAAGCCCCCTTGGAAGGGGATGTTCACTGGGCCCCGCAGAGGCCCCCCGATATTTTCAGTCTCTGGGTTTCTCAGGACCACCTGGTTTATTCTGGTTTTCTTTTTTTTTTTTCTTTGAGACAGAGTCTCACTCTGTCACCCAGGCTGGAGTGTGGTGGCACAATGTTGGCTCACTGCAACTTCGCCTCCCAGGTTCAAGCGATTCTTCTGCCTCAGCCTCCCGAGTAGCTGGGATTATAGGTGGCCACCAGCACACCCAGCTAGTTTAGGGATTTTTAGTAGAGACGGGGTTTCTCCGTGTTGGCCAGGCTGGTCTCGAACTCCTGTCCTCCGGTGATCCACCCACCTCGACCTCCCAAAGTGCTGGGATTACAGGTGTGAGCCACCGCCCTGGCCTATTTACTTAGTAAAGTCTCTGCCCAGCCAGGCCAAGCCCTCACTGATGTTTCATCATCCTGCTCAGGCGTGCCCGGTGCTGCACCGTTGGTGCTGCCAGTGAGCAGTGGAGGCTGGAAAAGGTGTCTGGGCTGCTGCAGGACGCGCTCCAGATGCTGCACCTCACCCCACCTGCCCCTCACCCCGCCTGCCCCTCACCCCGCCTGCCCCTCACCCCGCCTGCCCCTCACCCCGCCTGTCCCTCACCCCGCCTGGCCCTTCCTCTGACCATTATCCCGCCTGGCCCTTCCTGTGCCCCTCACCCCACCTGCCCCTTCCTCTGACCCTCACCCCGCCTGGCCCTTCCTCTGACCCTCACCCCGCCTGGCCCTTCCTCTGACCCTCAGCCCGCCTGGCCCTTCCTCTGACCCTCACCCCGCCTGTCCCTTCCTGTGACCCTCAGCCCGCCTGGCCCTTCCTCTGACCCTCACCCCGCCTGGCCCTTCCTCTGACCCTCAGCCCGCCTGCCCCTTCCTCTGACCCTCACCCCGCCTGTCCCTTCCTCTGACCCTCACCCCGCCTGTCCCTTCCTGTGACCCTCACCCCGCCTGTCCCTTCCTGTGACCCTCAGCCCGCCTGGCCCTTCCTCTGACCCTCACCCCGCCTGTCCCTTCCTCTGACCCTCAGCCCGCCTGGCCCTTCCTCTGACCCTCACCCCGCCTGTCCCTTCCTCTGACCCTCACCCCGCCTGGCCCTTCCTGTGACCCTCACCCCGCCTGTCCCTTCCTCTGACCCTCAGCCCGCCTGGCCCTTCCTGTGACCCTCACCCCGCCTGGCCCTTCCTCTGACCCTCACCCCGCCTGGCCCTTCCTGTGACCCTCAGCCCGCCTGGCCCTTCCTGTGACCCTCAGCCCGCCTGTCCCTTCCTCTGACCCTCAGCCCGCCTGGCCCTTCCTGTGACCCTCACCCCGCCTGTCCCTTCCTGTGACCCTCAGCCCGCCTGGCCCTTCCTCTGACCCTCAGCCCGCCTGGCCCTTCCTGTGACCCTCACCCCGCCTGTCCCTTCCTGTGACCCTCAGCCCGCCTGGCCCTTCCTCTGACCCTCAGCCCGCCTGGCCCTTCCTCTGACCCTCAGCCCGCCTGTCCCTTCCTCTGACCCTCACCCCGCCTGGCCCTTCCTGTGACCCTCACCCGACTGGCCCTTCCTGTGACCCTCACCCCGCCTGGCCCTTCCTGTGACCCTCAGCCCGCCTGGCCCTTCCTGTGACCCTCAGCCCGCCTGTCCCTTCCTCTGACCCTCAGCCCGCCTGTCCCTTCCTCTGACCCTCAGCCCGCCTGGCCCTTCCTGTGACCCTCACCCCGCCTGTCCCTTCCTGTGACCCTCAGCCCGCCTGGCCCTTCCTGTGACCCTCAGCCCGCCTGTCCCTTCCTCTGACCCTCAGCCCGCCTGTCCCTTCCTCTGACCCTCAGCCCGCCTGGCCCTTCCTGTGACCCTCACCCCGCCTGTCCCTTCCTGTGACCCTCAGCCCGCCTGTCCCTTCCTGTGACCCTCACCCCGCCTGTCCCTTCCTGTGACCCTCAGCCCGCCTGGCCCTTCCTGTGACCCTCACCCCGCCTGTCCCTTCCTCTGACCCTCAGCCCGCCTGTCCCTTCCTCTGACCCTCAGCCCGCCTGGCCCTTCCTCTGACCCTCAGCCCGCCTGGCCCTTCCTGTGACCCTCACCCCGCCTGTCCCTTCCTCTGACCCTCAGCCCGCCTGGCCCTTCCTCTGACCCTCAGCCCGCCTGGCCCTTCCTCTGACCCTCACCCCGCCTGTCCCTTCCTGTGACCCTCAGCCCGCCTGGCCCTTCCTGTGACCCTCAGCCCGCCTGTCCCTTCCTCTGACCCTCAGCCCGCCTGGCCCTTCCTGTGTCCCTCACCCCGCCTGGCCCTTCCTCTGACCCTCAGCCCGCCTGGCCCTTCCTCTGACCCTCACCCCGCCTGTCCCTTCCTGTGACCCTCAGCCCGCCTGGCCCTTCCTCTGACCCTCAGCCCGCCTGGCCCTTCCTCTGACCCTCAGCCCGCCTGGCCCTTCCTCTGACCCTCACCCCGCCTGTCCCTTCCTGTGACCCTCACCCCGCCTGTCCCTTCCTGTGACCCTCACCCCGCCTGGCCCTTCCTCTGACCCTCAGCCCGCCTGGCCCTTCCTGTGACCCTCACCCCGCCTGTCCCTTCCTCTGACCCTCAGCCCGCCTGGCCCTTCCTCTGACCCTCAGCCCGCCTGGCTCTTCCTGTGACCCTCACCCCGCCTGGCTCTTCCTCTGACCCTCAGCCCGCCTGGCCCTTCCTCTGACCCTCACCCCGCCTGGCCCTTCCTCTGAGACTCTACAATGGCTTTTCATCCAACCCAGCAGGGTCTGCCATTGCCGCAAGGTGGAGGCATCTCAGAGGCCCTGCTTGGCCTTGCCCTGTCCAGGCAGGCGGGCCGTGGGTTGACCTCCATGAGACAGCAGGGCTGGGCCTGCTCCTTTGGGTTTTAACCAACATAAAGGTGGCAGGCAATTGAGGACCTGCACCTCTTAAGAATAATCCCCCAAAGCTGAGAACACCAGCATCTCTGCAGAGAGCACAGCTGCAGGAAGTAGCTGAACCCCTGCCTGGTGGGGGAGGCACCGTGGGAGCCCTCTGGCACAGTGACCCCCGCCAGCAGTGATGCCACCTGGCTTCCTGCGCCAGGCCCTGCAGGAATGGAGTGGGGGTATTCCCTGGAATTGTGGGGGCCACTTACTCTTCCCCAACTTTCCGTAAAACAGAAGCCAAGCACCACGCGTCTGTTGGGATCCCAGGTTTCCACAGCTCCTCCTTTCCAAGCCTGGGAGGCTGATGGTCAGAGGTCGCCCTGCCCCAGGGCTGTCAGCACCCCCAGGACCCCCAGATGCATGTGCGCCTCCCATGGCCTCCAGCGCTGTCAGGCACGTGTGGGGCTGTGGGTCCTGGGACAAAGCTGGCGGGAGCCCCTCCTTCACTCTCACGGGTGTCTGAGAGGAATCCACTGTGACTCAGTCTGTTCCGGGGGTGACTGGGACAGGCTGGTCCTGGGAAGCAGGTAGTCGGAGAAGGTGTCCTGGAGGAGGCAGCCGCTGAGGCCATCACAGAAGTGCGTGGTCACCAGACGGGACGGGGCAGCCGCACTAAAGTAGTAATTGGGCTTGGTCCTCTCTCCACCCAATACTCGTTTTCTTTTCTTTTTTGAGACAGGGTCTCCGTCACCCAGGCCGGAGTGCAGTGGCACGAGCTCGGCTCACTGCAGCTTTGACTCCCTAGCTTTAAGGGATCCTCCTGCCTCAGCCTCCCGAGTAGCTGGGATTACAGGCGTGACCACCACACCCAGCCTGCACTGAGTATTTTAGCAAGCTGAGGTTGTGCCCAATGCTGTAGACTGCACAGCCCACAGTCTGTCAGTGTTCAGATGGGAGCCTGGCACCCTGACTGGCCACCCTGGCTGCAAACGCCGAATCCCCAGCACAGGAAGGTTCCAGCCAGCACAATTGGGAGGCGGAGGGTCCCCCATTTCTCCCACAACCTGGGCCTGGGAGAGAGCTGGATCCAGTCCAGGGTAGGCTGTTCCTGCATGGAGGGCCCTGGGAGCCGCCCCTCTTCCCCCAGGGTCAGGGGCTGCACTGGTTGATGGAGCCAGGGTGCAGACAGGCAGCTTGGGTCGCTCTGCCCAGCCCCTGGCCCCGCTGCCGCCTCCCTGCTCCCACCCCTTGGCCCAGCCACATTGGTGGACGCTGGGCAGAGGTTGGCTGGGCACCAGGGGTGACTGAGCACGGAGCTCCCTCCAGGGAAGCCACTTGGTGGGGCCCCACCCATCACCACAGGCCCCTTGCTGTGGGGCTTGGGTCATCCTCTGGCCAGGGACTGGCAGGAAGCTAGGCTCTGGCCTCAAGGCAGCTTCTAAAATGACAGGTTGGGCTCCCCTGCCGGGGTCTGCTGGGGCAGCATGAGCCTGGAGCCCCCTGTGCCTGGTTCTCAGAGGTGGGAGTTGGCCCGGGCAGGGCCTGGCGGCTGACAGCCCCCCACCCCGCCTCTCCCCATTTGTTTCTTCCCATCGGAACTGGGCTTCCCCAGGAGACACCTTGCCCTGCTGGGTGCTGCTTCCTCTCCCCTGCAGAGAGGGGAAGCTGGGCCCCAGCGCTGCCGAACTGAGTGGCTCTCGGGGGCCCCTTCCCCCTCACCCTGAGCAGGCGGCCGGCTTGGTGGGGTCTGCTCTGTGGGCTTCCTTGGCGGGAAGAAAGAGGTTAACTGGCTGGGGGGCCTGGGGCCACTGAGGCAGAAACCCCTCTTCCCACTCCCCATCAGCCCCCAGGAGCCTTCACAGCTGAGTTTGGGAAGGAATTTGTTTAATTAACGTACAAAAGCGCCCTCCCCATCTCCTTGGTCCCTGAGGCCTGGCCATCAGGCCGGGGGGCGTCCGGGGGTGCCCGGCTCAGCAGCAGGCACGCAGGGCCTTGCGGAAGACGTTGCGGAACTCGGCGTTGAAGACAGTGTAGATGACGGGGTTGAGGGCGCTGTTGACGTAGCCCAGCCAGGTGACGGCGCTGACCAGCCGCGGGGGCACGGAGCAGGCAGGACACAGCGCCTGCGTGATGTGCACCACGAAGAAGGGCGTCCAGCACAGCAGGAAGGCCCCTGGGGGCGCCGAGAGCCGCGTTAGCGCCCCCCGCCCAGCCGGCCTCGTACCCCCCCCCTCCTCTCCTCCCCGCCCCTCAGGACAGGAACCCACCGACCACCACCGGCAGGACCCTCATGGCCTTGCGCTCCCGGCCGGTGATCTTGGCACGCCGCCTCCTGCGGGTCTGCGGTGGAGTCTGGGGTGGGAGCGCGGCGGCTCTGACGGCGTCGGGGGGAGCACAGTTGGAGCCGCAGGGGTCCGGGGGGAGGCCGGGCGCGGGGGGCGCACAGTCGGGGCCACAGGGGTCCTGGGGGAGGCTGGGCGCGGCGGGCGCACAGTCGGGGCCGCAGGGACCCCGGGGAAGGCCGGGCGCGGGGGGCGCACAGTCGGGGCCGCAGGGGTCCTGGGGGAGGCGGGGCGCGGGTGGCGTGGGGGAAGGCGGGCCAGGGCCGCTGGGTCGGCGGGGCGCGCGGCCGTGCAGCTTGGCGCGACGTGCCACCTCCCAGCGCTGCAGGCCGCGGAACGTGGCCCAGTAGAGCAGCAGCATGAGCGGGCAGGGTAGGAAGAAGGAGCACACGGACGAGTAGACCACGTAGTCGCGGTCCTCCAGGCGGCACACGGCGGGGTCGCGGCCGCGCACGTCGTTGAGGCCGCACAGTACGGGCGCCGCCACCGCCGCGGACAGCAGCCACGTGGCGCCGATGAGCAGCAGCTGCCGGCGGCTCCCACCCTGCCGGTTGTAGCGCAGCGGCACGGCCACGGCCACGAACCTGCGGGGAGCGCCGAGGGGGCGCCGGACAGCGCACAGGCCGCGGTGAGGGCGGCGGGCGGGGCGCGGGGGCGCCGGGGCGCGGGCGGGGAGGGCGGCGCACCTGTCCACGCTGATGGCGCACAGGTTGAAGATGGAGGCGGTGCACAGCATGACGTCCATGGCCATGAGGGCGTCGCACAGGCGGGGGCTCAGCAGCCACGCGCCACCCTGGACCTGCGCGGCGACACCACAGGCCCTGAGGTTTCCCAGCCACCGCGGGCCCTTGTGACCCCCCCCCACTCTTATGGGTAGTTCCAGGGCTGAATACGGAGAAGGGGGCCCGGCTGTGAGCCAGAGGCCAGAGGACCGGGCAGGGAAACACCCCTTCCCCACGCAGATCTCCCTTTGTTTTGAGTTAGGGTCTCGCTGTGTCACCGCGGCTGGAGTGCTGTGGCTCCATCATGGCTCACTGTAGCCTGGAATTCCTGAGCTCAAGCGATCCTCCCACCTCAGTCTCCAGAGTAGCTGGGATTACAGCCGCGCGCCACCACCCCCGGCTGATTTGTTTTTCTTTTTGTTTTTTGAGACGGAGTTTCGCTCTTGTTGCCCAGGCTGGAGTGCAGTGGTGAGATCTCAACTCACTGCAACCTCCGCCTCCCAGGTTTAAGCGATTCTGCCGCCTCAGCTCCCCCGAATAGCTGGGACAACAGCCGCAGCCACCACCCCCGGCTGATATTTTAAAATTTTTTGTAGAGACCAGGCCTGGTATGTTTCCCAGGCTGGTCTCAAACTATCCTCCTGCCTTTGCCTCCCAAAGTCCTGGGATTACAGGCGTGAATCACGGCTTCTGGCCTTGGTCTCCCTTTTGTTACAAACATGAGAACGGCCTGGGGAATTCCCTGGGGGCGGGCCTGATATCATCGGGCTCAAAGGGAGCCCCTCCCCAGCCTGGGGTAGGCAGGGTCCCCGCTGGGCCTAGAAGCGAAGCTGGCTGCTCTGTTGGCTAAGTTCTCTGTGGGAGACTCGGGCACGTTAATTCATTTCTGTTTCTTCATCTGTAAGACAAGGGTGATGATAGTATCCACATCATAATTGTCTTGAAGATAAATTATAATTAAAAATATGAAGACCGTGCCCAGTGCCCAGCGTAGGACTCCACGTGGAGTGACTCTCTCCAAGGGCAAAGGAGCAGGCAGCCCCTCTAATCCTTCCCGCCGATTTGGGGAGATTAGGAGCTTAAACGTCGTCACTGTGACGTCTGCGGCTCGAAAGGAGCACAGGTCACGCGTGTCCCGTGCTGCTGGTCTCTGCCCCAGCCGCCTGGATTCACTGTGTCCATCAAGGGGAAACCTCGAGTCCCCCTCCCCCACAGTCGGGGACACCGCGTCTCCAGCTCAGCCCTAAGCTGCTTTTCTCTGGCCGCAGAGGGGCTGGCACCAAGGCCGACCCACTCGAGGGCCAGACCTGGTGTGGAGTGTGGGCTCCATCCCCCAATTCCCCCTCAGGCTTCCCCCCAGGGTTCTCAGCAGGGGCCTGGTCCCCACACACCCTCCCCTCCCCTGGGTTTTGTCCAGCCCAGGTCTCCCCTGCGAGCTGTGAGCCTCCTTCTGGGGGTGTGCCAGCATCTGCACTAGGTGTGTGTGGTGGGCAGTGGCTGTGGCAGTGTGTGTGTGTGTGTCCCACGGCAGCCAGGGGGCTGAGCCTGCATCTGCCTGTCTGTCCAGCTGGCTGCCCTGGAGGTGAAATCCAGCTACGGAGGGGACTGGGCTTGACAAAGTCGCCTGTTTCCGGGGTCCCTGGATAGAAGGACGGGCATCTCCTGGATAACAGACGCCAAGACAGACGGGGAAGGAGAAGAGGAACGAGGGTCGGGGGACAGACAGCGCAGCGGGTGGAAGGTCGCGAGGTGGCGGCGGTGGGTGTATCGCCGAGGGACAAGGCGCAGCGCCCCTGCCGCCGCCCCAGCTGGAAGCTCCGCACCAGAAAGGGGCCGGGTCGCGCCGGGTCCTCCGTAGGGACAGGGACGGGGAACCGAGGAGCAGGTGAGGATGCTCGTGCGGCCGGACGCGGCTCACCTCGGAGTAGACGAAGAGCGGCAGCACCAGGAGAGCGAGGAGGAGGTCGGCGGCCGCCAGGCTCACGATGAAGGAGTTGGTGGGCGTCTGCAGGGCGCGCTCGGTGGCCACGCTCACGCACACGAGCGAGTTCCCCGCGAGCACCGCGCCGATGAGCAGCACGCCCCCCACCAGCGCCGCCGCGCCCTGCCCAGCCAGCCCCGCAGATGCCCCCGCAGATGCCCCCGCGGCCGGCCCGCGCCCAGCCAGCAGCCCGTCCGCGTCCGCGGTGCTGCGGTTCCCCATGGCGCGCCCGGGCGGGCGCTGAGCACCGCGGACAACGCCGGGTCGCAAGCCGGGGAGTCCCTCCCCTCGGGCACGCCCCGGCCGGACCCTGGTCCCGCCCCCGACCCGCCCCGGCTCAGGGGGGCCCCCGCGGCGCTCCACCGTGAGCCCAGTATTTGCTCATCTTGGAATTTTGCGCAGGGAGAGACGGGCACGTGGACGAATGCGGCGGCCCAAAGAGACGGGAATGAAGCGAGGTGGTGGCCACGGGCAGGCCAGCATCGCCCGGCGCCGCGCGGGGTCCGCGACCCGAGAAACCGACAAGGATGGAGGGGCGGCCAGACCAGGCCCTGAAGCGCGCGGGCATCGACGCCAGCGCCATCCTACCCGGCCCGTGCGTGCGTCCCGGCCCTCGGGCGCTCACCCTAGTCCACCTGGTATCTGGCAAAACCTCCCTCCCAGGCCCGTTCCGCCAGACGCAGAAAGACCTGAGCTCAGGCTCTGCCCGCCTCCCCCGCGGACTCGCCTCGACCTCGTGCGCACCCTCCACGCCCGCTCCCCCTGCCCCCGACTCCGCGCCCGACTCAACCGCCGACGCCTAGCTCATCCCGCCGCCCCCCCCAGCAGCCTCTGGTGCTCAGCCCCCGCGACCACCACGGTCAGCCGCGGCCCCACCCGTTGCACAGTTGATCCTCGCGTGGCCGCCTCCGAAACTGGGCGGACAGCTGAGCGGTCGACCCCGCTCCCTCCTCCATTCCCTCCGGCCCAAGACCGTGAGCTAGGTAGGCGCCCCTCTGACCCTGGGCAGGGGGTCCCGGGACCGGACAGCAGGTTCGGCTCGCGAGGAGGCCAGGAGAAAGACACGACAGGCCGGGGTAGGTTCCAAACGTGCAGAAGAGAAAGTGCTTGCAAAGCGCAGCAGAGAATTCTATGGACTCTTCACCAAAGAGGGGTGACCTGTGACCTGAGAGGTATTTTCTGTAGTCTGTCACTAAGGGGCCTAGAAGACACTAAAAGGGGGCACCACTCTGTGGGACCCCAGGCGGCGCACATCCTGATGCTCTAGTCTGTTTCTGGGAGGCCTGGAGTGGAGGGGCTGTGCCAGGAATTGAGGCCCCTGACCTCAAAGGTCTGGAGGACACGGGCTAGACGGAGGCGCTGACAGGGCGTGCGTTAAAGGGAGAAATGAGGACTCTGAGAAGGAGCAGGCACCGTGAGCCTCACAGGACAAGGTCACCGGGGCTGCGGGGGAAGGGCCTGCACCAGGGACAGGTGTGCACAGGCATCAGGTGCGGCCGCAGCCAGGCTCAGTCCCTCTTGTGCAGATCAGTCTGCTGCCCTTGTGAACCCTTGAGCAAAAGAAGTCACCACAGGAGAGACCACCAGGGACAGGTGTGCACAGGCATCAGGTGCGGCCGCAGCCAGGCTCAGTCCCTCTTGTGCAGATCAGTCTGCTGCCCTTGTGAACCCTTGAGCAAAAGAAGTCACCACAGGAGAGACTGGGACAGTGGAAGTTTCTTCTCTCCCAGGATGGAACCGGGGAGGGTGGCCCTGGGGTCTCCGGCTGGGCGCCAAACGGCGAGTCCAGCCCAGCCTCTGGTCGGCTTAGAGTTCCTTCAAGTAGCCCCCAAGATGTCTGCGACCACCAAGAGTGAAAACCAAGCTAGGCGGAGAAAGGATGTGTGCAGCACACATCTCTGACACACAGATCCAGAAACAATGGAAACAATGAGAAAAGACAGACAACCCCAATTTGTTTTTTTTTTTTTTTTTTTTTTGAGATGGAGTTTCACTCTTATCACCCAGGCTGGAGTGCAGCAGCACAATCTTGGCTCACTGCAACCTCCGTCTCCCGGGTTCAAGCGATTCTCCTGCCTCAGCCTTCTGAGTAGCTGGGATTATAGGCGCCCGCCACCACGCCCGGCTAATTTTTTTGTATTTTTAGTAGAGACACGGTTTCATCATATTGGCCAGGCTGGTCTCGAACTCCTGACCTCAGGTGATCCACCTGCCTCAGCTTCCTAAAGTGCTGGGATTACAGCTGTGAGCCACTGCCCCCAGCCTCCACTAAACTTCTGTTATCTGAAAATCAAATGTAACTGGATGTGATCACATCTTACTGCAATCATGGCTCACTGCAGCCTCAATCTCCTGGGCTCAAGTGATCCTCTGGCCTCAGCCTCCTGTACAACTGAGACTACAGATGCGTGGTGCCACACCCAGCTAATTTTCTTATTTTTTGTAGAGACGGGGTCTCGCCATGTTAGCCCAGCCGGTCTCAAACTCCTGGGCTCAAATGATCCTCCCACTTCAGCCTCTCAAAGTGCTGTGATTACAGGCATGAGCCATACAGCCAGCCTAAACAATTTTTAATGAGGACCTCCACTCATACCTTACACATTAAAAAATTAACTCAAATATGCTGTCAGGAGAATCAAAAGACACAGACCAGGAAACGACATTTGCAAATGGCCACGTCTGGCAATGTTTCTTCCATTTTAGTGTAGTAGGACGTCGTTGATTTTCCTGATGGCTACTCATGTTTGACCACTTTTCCCATGTGCCTGTTAACTGTCAGCATGCCCTCTTCTGGAATGTGCCTGTTAAAAATCTTTGCTTTTGTTAAAAATTGGGTTGTCTACGCCAGGCGCAGTGGCTCACACCTGTAATCCCAGCACGTTGGGAGGCCGAGGCAGGTGGATCACCAGGTCAGGAGTTCAAGACCAGCCTGGCCAACATAGTGAAACCCCATCTCTACTAAAAATACAAATAATTGGCCAGGCGTGGTGACTCACGCCTGTAATCCCAGCACTTTGGGAGGCCGAGGCAGGCAGATCACAGGGTCAGGAGATCGAGACCATCCTGGCTAACACGGTGAAACCCTGTCTCTACTAAAAAATACAAAAAAATCAGCCGGGCGTGGTGGCGGGCACCTGTAATCCCAGCTACTGAGGAGGCTGAGGCAGGAGAATGGCATGAACCCGGGAGGCGGAGATTGCAGTGAGCCAAGATTGTGCCACTGCGCTCCAGCCTGGGTGACAGAGCAAGACTCCGTCTCAAAAAAAAAAAGCCGGGCGTGGTGGTGTGCACCTGTAATCCCAGCTGCTTGGCAGGCTGAGGAAGGAGAATCACTTGAACCCAGGAGGCAGAGGTTGCGGTGAGCGGAGATCACGTCATTGCACTCTGGCCTGGGAAACAGAGCAAGACTCTGTGTCAAAAAATAAATAAATAGGCTGGGCGAGGTGGCTCATGCCTGTAATCCCAGCACTTTGGGAGGCCGAGGCAGGCAGATCACGAAGTCAGGAAATCGAGACCATCCTGGCTAACACAGTGAAACCCTGTCTCTACTAAAAATACAAAAAATTAGCCAGGCGTGGTGGCGGGCACCTGTAGTCCCAGCTACTCGGGAGGCTGAGGCAAGGGAATGGCGTGAACCCGGGAGGCAGAGCTTGCAGTGAGCCAAGATCGCACCACTGCACTCCAGCGTGGGCGACAGAGCGAGACTCCGTCTCAAAATAAATAAATAAATAAATAAATAAATAAATAAATAAATAATAAATTAAAATTAAAAAAGAAACAAATTTTTTTTAAAAATTAGCAATCATATATCCAGCAAATGGCTTGTATACAAAAAAGATTAATAATTCTCAAAACTCAACAGTAATGATATCACAAAAATAAAATTCCAAATGAGTATCCTTTATGAATATAGATGCAAAAGTTCTCGAAAAAATATGAGCAAACACAGTCCCTTTTAAAGTGCTGCCTGCCAGAAAAGCAGCATTTTTTTTTTTTTTTTGAGATGGAGTCTCACTCTGTCACCCAGGCTGGAGTGCAGTGGTGTGATCTCGGCTCACCACAACCTCTGCCTCCCGGGTTCACGCTATTCTCCTGCCTCAGCCTCCTGAACAGCTGGGACTACAGGCACGTGCCACCATGCCCAGCTAATTTTGGTATTTTTAGTAGAGACAGGGTTTCACTCTGTTGGCCAGACTGGTCTCAAACTCCTGACCTCATGATCCGCCCACTTTGGCCTCCCAAAGTGCTGGGGTTACAGGCGTGAGCCAGTGCCTGGCCGAAAAACAGCATTTTTAAAAGGATTATGTACCATAACCCAGTGGGATTTATCCCAGGAATGCAAGGGTGAACGAACAGACGAAATTCAATGTCATACACCACATTAACAGAATGAAGAAAAACCCACGCGATCATCCCAACTGATGCAGAAAAAACCATTTCATAAAATTCAAAACCCTTTCATGATAATAAGACTCAATAAACTAGGAATAGAAACAAACTTCATCAGGCCGGGCGCCGTGACTCATGCCTGTAATCCCAGCACTTCGGAAGGCCGAGGCGGGTGGATCACTTGAGATCAGGAGTTCAAGACCAGATGCCCAACATGTTGAAATCCCATCTCCACTAAAAATACAAAAATTAAAATTAGCTGGGCATGGTGGCGCACGCCTACAGTCCCAGCTACTCAGGAGGCTGAGACACGAGAATTACGTGAATCCAGGAGGTGGAGGCTGCAGTGAGACGAGATCGCACCACTGCACTCCACCCTGAATGACAGAGGGGGACTGTCTCAAACAAACAAACAAAATACAAACACAGCTAACATCATACTCAATGGTGAGAAACAAAAAGCCTTTGAAAGAGACAAGGATGCCCACTGCTGCTGCTTCTGTTCAACATTGTTCTGGACATTCTAGCAAGAGCATTACTCAAGAAAAAGAAATTAAAGGTATCCAAAATTGGAAAAGAAAACTATTTCTACTTGCAGATGACATGGTCTTATGTATAGAAGATCCTCCACAACAGGCCAGGCTTGGTGGCTCAAGCCTGTAATCCCAGCACTTTGGGAGGCTGAGGCGGGCGGATCTCAAGGTCAGGAGATCGAGACCATCCTGGCTAACATGGTGAAACCCCGTCTCTACTAAAATTACAAAAAATTAGCCGGGCGTGGTGGCGGGCACCTGTAGTCCCAGCTACTCAGGAGGCTGAGGCAGGAGAATGGCGTGACCCTGGGAGGCGGGGCTTGCAGTGAGCCAAGATCGTGCCACTGCACTCCAGCCTGGGCAACAGACCAAGACTCTGTCTCAAAAAAAAAAAAAAAAGAAAGACACCCCATCTCTACTAAAAATACAAACATTAGCTGGGTGTGGTGGCGTGAGCCTATAGTCACAGCTTTTTGGGAATCTGAGGTGGGAGGATCCTTTGAGTCCAGGAGGTTGAGGCCGCAGTGAGCTGTGATTGAGCCAACATATTCCAAGCTGGGCAACAAAGTGAGACCCTGTCTCAAAATAAAATAAATAATGAAAATGAGTAAAGGACTTGAATAGACATTTCTTCAAAGAAGATACCCAAATGGCCGGGTTCAGTGGCTCACGCCTGTAATCCCAGCACTTTGGGAGGCCGAGGCAGGCGGATCCCTTGAGGTCAGGAGTTCGAGAACAGTCTGGCCAACATGGTGAAACCCCGTCTCTACTACAAATACAAAAATTAGCTGGGTATGCTGGCGGGCGCCCATAATCCCAGCTACTTGGGAGGCGGAGGTGGGACAATCGCTTGATCCCGGGAGGCAGAGGTTACAGTGAGCCAAGAACACGCCACTGCACTCCAGCCTGGGCAACAGTGCGAGACTCTGTCTTAAAAAAAATATGGCTGGGCACGGTGCCTCACATCTGTAATCCCAGCACTTTGGGAGGCCGAGGTGGGCGGATCATGAGGTCAGGAGATGGAGACCATCCTGGCTAACATGGTGAAACCCCGTCTTTACTAAAAATACAAAAAAATTAGCCAGGCATGGTGGCGGGCACCTGTAGTCCCAGCTACTCAGGAGGCTGAGGCAGGAGAATCGCCTGAACCTGGGAGGTGGAGGTTGCAATGAGCCGAGATCGCACCATTGCACTCCAGTCTGGGTGACAGAGCGAGACTCCGTCCCCAAAACAAACAAACAAACAAAAAATATACATATGTCACACACAAATGGCCACAAAGCACTTGAAAAGATGCTCAACCTCATTAGTCACTGGGGAAATGCAAATCAAAACCACAGTAAGATACCATTCCATATCCATTAGGATGGCCATGGTAGTAAATAAATAAATAAATAAATAAATAAAAATACCAAGTGTTAAGGATGAGGAGACATTCACTGCTTTTGGGAATATAAAATGGTCACTGTGAGAAGAAGTCCAGCAGTTCCTCAACAAGTTTCACGTAGAGTTGCCATATGACTCAGTGGGTATGTTACATACCCAAAAGAAGTGAAGACAGGTGTTCAAATAAAAGCTTGTATGTAAATGTTCACAGCGGCACTATTCACAATATACAAAAGGGGCCGGGCATGGTGGCTCACGCCTGTAATCTCAGCACTTTGGGAGACCGAGGTGGGCAGATTGCTTGAGGCCAGAAGTTCAAGACCAGCCTGGCCAACATGGTGAAACCCCATCTCCACTGAAAATACACAAAGTACTGGCCGGGCACAGTGGCTCATGCCTGTAACCCTAGCACTTTGGGAGGCCGAGGCGGGTGGATCACCTGAGACCTGGAGTTGGAGACCAGCCTGGCCAACAGGGTTAAACCCCGTCTCTACTAAAAATACAAAAATTAGCCGGGCGTGGCAGGTGCCTGTAATCCCAGCTACTTGGGAGGCTGAGGCAGGAGAATAGCTTGAACCCGGGAGGCGGAGGTTGCAGTGAGCTGAGATCAGGTCAGTGCACTCCAGCCTGGGTGACAGAGTGAGAGTCCGTCTCTAAAGTAAATAAATAAATAAATATTTTTTAAAAATACAAAAATTAGGGGGTGTGGTGGTGCATGCCTGTAGTCCCACTACTTAGGAGGCTGAGGCAGGGGAATCACTTAAACCTGGTAGGCGGAGGTTGCAGTGAGCGGAGATCATATACTGCACTCCAGCCTGGGCAACAGAACGAGATTCTGTCTCAAGCAGACAAACAAACACAATATATACAAGGTAGAAATAAACCAAACGTCCTCAGCAGGTGAATGGATGAACCAAATGCAGTGTGATTTTTCCATTAAAATGAATGAAATTCTGGGGCCAGGCGCGGTGGCTCCTGCGTGTAATCCCAGCACTTTGGGAGGCTGAGGCGGGCGGATCACCTGAGGTCAGGAGTTCAAGACCAGCCTGACCAATATGGCAAAACCCTGCCTCCATGAAAAGTACACAATTAGCTGGGCATGGTGGTGCTGTAATCCCAGCAACTCCAGAGGCTGAGGCAGGAGAATTGCTTGAACCCAGAAGGCGGAAGTTGCAGTGGGCCAAGATCGCGCCATTGCACTCCAGTCTGGGCAACAAGAGTGAAACTCCATCTCAAAACAAATAAATAAAAATAAATAAATAAATAAAAATAGTGACCAGGGTCTTGCTATGTTTCCCAGGCTGGTCTCGAACTCCTGGCCTCAAACCATCCTCCTGCCTCACCGTCTCAAGTAGCCGAGACCACAGGCATGTACCACCATGCCCAGCTTTTAGGATTTTATTGGTATGAAATACCCAGAACAGGCAGATCCACAGAGACAGAAAGTAAATTCATTGTTACTCAGGAGCTGAAGGGATGGGGGAAGGGGAGGTAAATGCTTTATGGATTTGAGATTTTCCATCTGGGGAGTAAAAAGTTCTGGAACTAAACAGCGGTGCTGGTTGTATAATTCCGTGACCGTACTAAGTATCACTTCATACTTTAAAATGGCTAAAATGGTAAGTTTCATGTTATGCATGTTTTCCCACAATAAAAAAAAAAACAAAACTCAGCAGTAGAGAACAATTTAAAAACGGGCAAGAGATGTGAAGATACATTTAACCCACGACAACATGCAAATGGAAACAAGCACCTGGAAAGAGGTTCGGAATCACCCGCCACTGGGGAAATGCAACTAAGACCACAAGGAGGTGTTGCCGCAGAGAGAATGGCTGAAGGTTAAAAATAGCGACTGCAGGGATGTTGACAGTGTGCAGAGAAAGTGAGGCCGGGCGCTGTGGCTCACGCCTGTAATCCCAGTGCTTTGGAAGGCCGAGGCAGGTGGATCACTTGAGGTCAGGAGTTTCAGACCAGCCTGGGCAACATGGTGAAACCCTGTCTCTACTAAAAATATAAAAATTAGCCAGTCATAGTGGCAGGCACCTGTAATCCCAGCTACTTGGAGGGCCGAGGCACAAGAACTGCTTGAAACCGGGAGGCGGAGGTTGCAGTGAGCTGAGATGGCCCCACGGCACTCCAGCCTGGGTGACAGAACGAGACTCCCTCTGAAAAAGAAAGAAAGGAAGGAAAGAAAGGAAGAAAGGAAGAAGAAAGGAAGAAAGGAAGAAAAAGAAAAAAAGAAAGAAAGAAAGAAAGAAAGAAAGAAAGAAAGAAAGAAAGAAAGAAAGAAAGAAAAGCAAGCAAGCCAGCAAGCCAGCCAGCCAGCCAGCCCCACATTGCTGGCGGGGCTGTGAAATGATGCAAACGCTGGGGAAAATATTGTGGCTGATTTAACAGACGGATACAGTGCATGACTCGCAACCACAGCAGAACATCAAAGGGCTTGACGGCCATTTCTCCGTCCACTCCATGATGTATAAATGGCTCACAGACACTTGAGAACATGCTCCACATCGCTGGCCATTAGGGAGATGCCAATCAAAACCGCAGCGAGACACCACGTCGCACCCACCGGCATCGTTAGTACGCGACAAACAAAAAGCCACAAAGTAGCAAGTGTTGGCGAGGACAAGAACCGTGTCCCTGCTGCGCTGCTGGGAAGACAGTTTGGCGTTTCCTCAGAATATTTAACACATAATTACTCTGTCACCCAGCAATTCCCTCATAACTATACACCAAGAACGCTTGAAAACGGGATCGGGAAGCGCCGTTTGCACACCCACGTTCACAGCAGCGTTACTCGCCGTCGCCCCAAAGGGGAGGCAGCCCAGGTGTCCATCAAGATGCCCACAGATGAGCGGACGCGGTCGATGCGGTCCCTGCACACAGCGGGACACAGTTCCCCACAAAAGGGAAGGAGATTCCCACACAGGCCAGGCCGCGGCGGCGAAGGCGGAGGATGCTGCGCTGAGAATCCAGCCGGTCTCCAAAGGACAAATCCCGTGAGGCTCCCCCTGCGCGCAGTCCCTGGAAGCGCTGAATCCACAGACAGAAAGTGGACGGGGCGCCGGGGCTGAGGAGGGGAGGGGGCGTTTGATGGGGACAGAGCTTCATTCTGGGAGGACAGGAGAGTCTGAGAACGGATTTTGGGAGGACGGGAGCGTCTGTGAACGGATTTTGGGAGGACGGGAGCGTCTGTGAACGGATTTTGGGAGGACGGGAGCGTCTGTGAACAGATTTTGAGAGGACAGGAGAGTCTGAGAACGGATTTTGGGAGGACGGAAGAGTCTGAGAATGGATTTTTGGAGGACGGAAGAGTCTGAGAACGGATTTTGGGAGGACGGGAGCGTCTGTGAACGATTTTGGGAGGACGGGAGCGTCTGTGAACGATTTTGGGAGGACGGGAGCGTCTGTGAACGATTTTGGGAGGACGGGAGCGTCTGTGAACGGATTTTGGGAGGACGGGAGCGTCTGTGAACGGATTTTGGGAGGACGGGAGCGTCTGTGAACGGATTTTGGGAGGACGGGAAAGTCTGAGAACGGATGGTGGGGATGGATGCACCGAATGATCCTGAATCGCGCACTTCAAAGCAGATAAAATGGCAACACCGGCCCCCCAACAGTCACGCCACGCTGAAGCTGGAGACGAACTCGCCCCAGCAAGGTGCTCCAGGGGCCTCCGGAACTCCGGCCGCAGCCCCTTCCCCGGGGCCCCCCAGTCCCCCCCCAAACCCTCCCCCAAGCCCTCCGGCCCCTCCGCCCCCGCAGGCTCCGAGGCTTCGCGGTGCGGTTCCCTCTGCGGGTCCCAGGCCCGCGCTCCGTTCGCCCCCCAGGCCGGGACGTCCCCCTCCCCCAGCCGGCCGAGGGGCGCCAGCGCGGCGGAGGGGGCGGGAGGCCGGGCCGGGGCGACAGCTGGGGGGGCGGCCCTGACCTTCCCGGGATCGCTGGGCGCGGCCGGGCCGTCCCCTTTCCGGGCGCCGCCATAAAGGGGCCTTGCGGGGGCCCGGGGCCGTGGCCGCAGCGCTCAGCTCCTGCGCCCCGACCCCGCCATGGCCCCCCGGCCCCTCCTGCTGCTGCTGCTGCTCCTCGGGGGCTCCGCCGCGCGCCCCGCGCCCCCCAGGTGAGCCGCCCGCCAGGCCCGCCCGCCCCCCGGGCCCCACCCGCCCCCAGTGCGCCCTGACCCCGACCCCCGACCGCCCGCAGGGCCCGGCGACACTCAGACGGGACGTTCACCAGCGAGCTCAGCCGCCTGCGGGAGGGCGCGCGGCTCCAGCGGCTGCTACAGGGCCTGGTGGGGAAGCGCAGGTGAGGCCGGGTGGGGTGGGGGGTCCTGGCGTGGTGCCCCAGCAGCAACGCGCGACCCCCCAGCTCCAGGACTAACTCTGTTTTGGGGCGGGGGGCAGCGAGCAGGACGCAGAGAACAGCATGGCCTGGACCAGGCTCAGCGCGGGTCTGCTCTGCCCGTCAGGGTCCAACATGCCCATCCTGCAGGCCTGGTGAGCACCCGCCCCACCGCAGACCCCACTCCAGACCCCACCCCAGACCCCTCCTTCTGTCCTGGCCTCCCCGGGTCAGCGCTGGTGGCCACTGGAGGCCCAATTCCAGCAGCGGGGCCGGGGTCTCCAGCCCCAGCCCTCAGACCCTCACGTGCTGTCTCTGCAGGATGCCCCTGGACGGGACCTGGTCTCCCTGGCTGCCCCCTGGGCCTATGGTTTCAGAACCAGCTGGCGCTGCTGCAGAAGGAACCTTGCGGCCCAGATGAGGAAGGAACCCCCTCACCACCTGCCCGGCCCAGGAGCGCAGCTGCATTTGGGGTGGGGGGCAGGATGGGGGAGAGGGGGAGGGGTGGTACTTGGCACCAATAAAGGAGGAATCAGACCCAGACGCTGGGAGTTGTCTGTGTCCACTCAGTGTAATCGAGGCAACCCCTGTGTAGCGGGGCTGAGGGATGGATGGAGGCCCATCCACCCAGGAGGGACTGACCACACCCAGCTGCCCTTTACACCTGCAGGCACGGCGGCCCCTCATCCTTATCTCTGGCATCAGGGCCACCTCCTGTACCTCGACTAAGTACTGCAGGGCCCCGCCCCACCCCTTGTCATCCATTAGGAAACATTCTGGGGCTCGGGGGATCCCGGACACCCTCTCAGCTCCTGCCCGGGGGCCCATGTGGTCAGTGTTTCTGTAAGGGGTAGTGGGGAGGGTGTGAAGGGGCCAGGGGGGCTCAGGCGGGCAGGAAGAGGGGAGGGTGGAGGTGTCACCTGGGGTGCCAGGAATCCACTCTGGCGTGAGGACTCCGGACCCTCTGTCTCGTGTGGCCTCGGACCAGTGGCTTGACCCCTCAGAGCCTGTGGAGCACGGAGCGTGCAGGGCTTGAAGGCGACCATGAGGGCACCGTGCAGGGTTAGGACACTGAGCCCAGCCCCAGCCATGAGAGGCCAGAAGCTTCGGCGCACAGGCCTGGAGGAGGAGAACTCCACCTACCCCTCACGACAGCCACTTCCTCGCCCCGACCCTACCCAGTGGCCTCTCCCTAGAGCTGGGGGCTTCTGGGGGGCCAATGAAAAGAGCAGGGCAAGTGTCGAGTCTCACCTCACCCCCTCTGTCGGGCACCAGGGCCCCCCAGGAACTCCCAGCTGCCCCTCACAGCCCCGCCTTAGCCTCAGTCACTAAGGCCCTGTCCAGCCCCGCCCTGAGAAGCCGACTTGTCTCTGGGGCAGGCAGGGGTGTCCCCAGGACACAGTGAGGAGAGCCTTTTCCTTCAGAACCTGCTGTCAGGCAGGGAGGGAGGTGCTCCCTGGGGAACACCCGGGTTCTGAGCCTCAAGGGGTGGCCTTAGGAACTTTGCCTGAGGGAGATCTTAGGGGAGGAGCCAAGCCAGGGCAGCCTGGGCTAGGGAGGCAGGTTCCAGACACCCCGACACCAAGGGCCGAGCCCCCGCCCCCAGCCCCCAGCTTCTCTCCCACACCCTAGCCCTGCCCCTGCCCTGCCCCTACCCCCACGGCACCCATGAGCCGCTCTCCAGTCCCTTCTGCCCTGTGCCTCGGTGCCTGTGACCTGAGCCCCCTGGTTGACCCCTGCACTCAGTCCAACTTGGGCCAAACGACTGCCCCTCCTTCTGGCAGTGGGCTGGACCAGCCGGCCAGCGGGAGCCCCCTTGGCAGAAGCCGGTCGTAAAGGATCATAAACTGGGCGGCGTCTGGCTGGGGCGAAGGTCGCTGAGGTAGGAACTGCGCCAGTCCTAGACGCCAGACCCGCTCAGACCCTCCTGCCAGGTGACAGCCGCCAAGATGGGGTCTTGGGCCCTGCTGTGGCCTCCCCTGCTGTTCACCGGGCTGCTCGTCCGACCCCCGGGGACCATGGCCCAGGCCCAGTGTATGTGCGGGCAGGGGTAGGTGGGGCACGGGCGGCGGGGAGCCAGGGGCTGGGAGGCACTGATCCCTCCTCTGCAACCTTACAGACTGCTCTGTGAACAAGGACATCTTTGAAGTAGAGGAGAACACAAATGTCACCGAGCCGCTGGTGGACATCCACGTCCCGGAGGGCCAGGAGGTGACCCTCGGAGCCTTGTCCACCCCCTTTGCATTTCGGATCCAGGGAAACCAGCTGTTTCTCAACGTGACTCCTGATTACGAGGTGTGGGCGGCAGGCGGGCGGGATATGGGGGTCCCGGGAGAAGGGCACCTGCATCCTCAGGCCACACCTCCCTTGGGGGCCTAGGAGTTCTATGCCTGCGGGCATCCACTGACACCCATGCTTGGTGGTGCCTGCCCTAGAAGGCTGGGCCATTTCGGGATGAAGCTGCCTGGGCCCACACCCTCAGCACTGACCACTGATGATGGGGACCCTGGGCCAGCGCCTGCCCACTTGGCCTCAGTCTCCCCACCTGTGGGGCAGGACGGTGACTGCAGACCTGTCTACATCCACAGGAGAAGTCACTGCTTGAGGCTCAGCTGCTGTGTCAGAGCGGAGGCACATTGGTGAGTCCCCGCCCCGCTCTCCCCGCCCCACCCGGCCACCTCTGCTGGGCTCTGCCCTGCCGGTCCAGGACCAGTCTTTGATGACGTCAGCTAGGGTGTGGTTTCAAATTCCACCCCCCCGAGGGTGATGCCCACATTTCCTCCAGTCCAGACTCTGCCCTGAGCTGTGGAGTCCCCGTCACTGACCCCTTGTCCAGCAGACACCCCATCCAGTGTGCCCAAGACTCCCACCCACTCCCTCAACCATCCACAAGGGAGGCACCTTTATCCTGCCAGTCACGGGGACCACCTTGGTTCCCACTCGCCCTCCCTCCCCACGTGTCCCCCACAGCCCCCCACTGGTAAATCTGTTGGCTGTGCCCCAGCTCGACCCAGAAATCCAGAGTCTGTCCACCTCCAGTCCCATCAGGGCCGGGACACCAGCACTCATTTTGGGAAACTTCCAGCTGGCCCACCGGCTTCCCTGTTGCCCTTTGCTGGCCCCAGTCCACTCCACGTGGCAGAACAGCCCCTGTGGATGTTGTAAACCAAGGCTGCCCAGCCCACCCCAGCCCTCCACGGCTCCTTTCTCACCGAGTCAAACCCAGACATACTGTGCAGAGGCTCCACTGCAGCCTCAGGGCTCCCGCCAGGCACGCCCCTCCCTCACCGGCTCAGGACTGCAGTCTTCAGAGAAATCCCAACCACCCTATGCCCTGTTGCATCCCAGCCCCGCTCCCCCAACATCCTGCTTCTTGACCGGCGGCATTTTTTTCGGCTTTATTAAGGAAAATTGCAGAATCCTGAGGCCAGCACAGGCCCCCTCACCTACCAGCACACAGCAGGCTCTGTGCCCTCCATGCACCACGGCACGTCACCTGCACATATCTTGGGATATGTCTCTGAAAGAGAGAGACTCTTTTTTGAGACAGAGTCTCACTCTGTCACCCAGGCTGGCGTGCAGTGGAGCGATCTCGGCTCACTGCAACTTCCGCCTCCCGGGTCCAAGCGATTCTCCTGCCTCAGCCTCTTGAGTAGCTGGGATTACAAGCATGCGCCACCACGGCCGGCTAATTTTTGTATTTTTAGTAGCGACGGGGTTTCTCCATGTTGGTCAGGCTGGTCTCAAACTCCTGACCTCAGGTGATCTGCCCGCCTCGGCCTCCCAAAGTGCTGGGATTACAGGTGTGAGCCACCGTGCCCGGCTGACAATCCAGTTTCTTCACAAATAAATCTCCAGGAAAAAAGATGGGAGAAAGGGAAAGGTACAGATGAACAGAAACTCAGGAGAATTACCAACCAGGTCCATAATGTGGGCCCTGATTCAAACAAACAATTGTTAAAAAACCCTTCAGAGACCACGGGGAATGTGGCATCCTGGACATTTGAGGTAGAAAGTGACCGCTTTTCCCAGGTGTGACAACGACATTGTGGTTATGTTCTAAAAAGAAGAGTCCTGGCTGGGCGCCGTGGCTCACACCTGGAATCCCAGCACTTTGGGAGGCCGAGGCGGGTAGATCACCTGAGGTCAAGAGTTCGAGACCAATGTGGCCAAAATGGTGAAACCCCGTCTCTACTAAAAATACAAAAATTAGCTGGGCATGGTGGCAGGCACCTGTAATCCCAGCACTTTGGGAGGCCGAGGTGGGCAGAGGCCGAGGCAGGAGAATCGCTTGAACCTGGGAGGCAGAGGTTGCAGTGAGCCGAGATCACACCACTGTACTCCAGCCTGGGTGACGACAGAGCGAGACTGTATCCAAAAAAACCCAAAAACCAAAAAACAAAAACAAAAACCAAAAAAAAAAAAAAACAGAGAAAAGAAAATGGATTGTCTTTCCTCACCTGAGATTCTGCTGGCTGCATCCCCAAGTACCTGCATTATTTTTCTGTGGAGCACCTGCCACCTCCTGGCTTTATAAAGTCCTTTTTGTCTGTTGTTATAAGTCCTGCCAGGACAGGCACCACCAGGCAGAGATTTGTCTCTTGTGATCTCTGAATCCCAACGCCTAGAGCTGTGCAGCCCCTGTAGCCCCCCAACAACTGAATGAGCGAGTGGACGGATGGCCGTCGAGGGGTGCACCCCACTCACGGCGGGGACGGGTGGCCGTTGAGGGGTGCACCTCACTCACGGCGGGGACGGGTGGCCGTTGAGGGGTGCACCTCACTCACAGCAGGGACGGGTGGCCGTCGAGGGGTGCACCTCACTTAGGGCGGGGACAGGTGGCCGTTGAGGGGTGCACCTCACTCACGGTGGGGACGGATAGCCGTCGAGGGGTGCACCTCACAACGGGGAGGGGCTGTGGGAGAGGCTGACGGCCACATCCTGCAGGTGACCCAGCTAAGGGTGTTCGTGTCAGTGCTGGACGTCAATGACAATGCCCCCGAATTCCCCTTTAAGACCAAGGAGATAAGGGTGGAGGAGGTGAGGCCAGCGAAGCCGCGGGGACTGGGCACGGGGGTGTGGGAGCCCAGGGTGAGGGCAGGAGGTGAGTGGTGGCCGGGGGCTCAACCACAGTGGGGGTCCACAGGGGCCAAGAGTGTGGCCGGACCAAGCCCCTCTCCCTCCCCAGGACACGAAAGTGAACTCCACCGTCATCCCCGAGACGCAACTGCAGGCTGAGGACCGCGACAAGGACGACATTCTGTTCTACACCCTCCAGGAAATGACAGCAGTCAGTGCCGCCCACCCTGCCCCAGCACGAGCCCCTCGCCTCTGACACCCACAGCCGCCCTCGCCCTCCAAGGCTCTTAGGCTCTGTCCTCCCTGACCCTCCCCAGGGTGCCAGTGACTACTTCTCCCTGGTGAGTGTAAACCGTCCCGCCCTGAGGCTGGACCGGCCCCTGGACTTCTACGAGCGGCCGAACATGACCTTCTGGCTGCTGGTGCGGGTGAGCAGGTCACCCCAGCCCCGAGTCCCACACACTTGAGGCCCCCCGGCCCCAGCTGCTCCCAGGCCTGATCCAGCACAGCCGTCTGTTGCAGGACACTCCGGGGGAGAATGTGGAACCCAGCCACACTGCCACCGCCACACTAGTGCTGAACGTGGTGCCCGCCGACCTGCGGCCCCCGTGGTTCCTGCCCTGCACCTTCTCAGATGGCTACGTCTGCATTCAAGCTCAGTACCACGGGGCTGTCCCCACGGGGCACATACTGGTAATGGGGAGGGAGGGGCAGTGCACGGGGCAGGGCCTTCTAGGCAGGCTGGACACAGGGACGGCCAGGATCAGGAGAGGAAGGGCGGGGTCGGGGTCAGGGGGTGGGGCCGATTTCGGTCGTGATTTTGAAACAAATGCAGACTCTCCTTGGAAACCAACCCTTCCCATCTTGAGCGGTGAGGGAGCAAACCCTGAACACACAGGGAGGAGCGTGGGCCCCAGAGCCAGGCGGTCTCAGGGGCCTGGGGAGGTGGGCTGGGGCCCTGGAGCTCTTAAGGGATGCTGACATCTCTGCCCTGCTCACAGTCACCACTGGGCCCACACAGGCTGTCTGCAAACCTTCCTGGCACCAAGGCACCTGGGGCCACCAAACAGTACATGGGAGGCAGAAATGCAGACCCCGGGAGCCCCCACTTCCTAAATGTTTGCTTACCCGTCAAGACAAGCCTTGTGCAAATGGGACTCAGTATCTTTGGGCAACTGGACTCATTCATTAGTAAGGGACCCACAGGGGTGTTACTGATTGTGATGCTGGGACAAGGGACTGTCCTAGGCAGGCAGGGACGCCCGGCCACCAGCGGGACTGGGCCCCTCCTCAGCCAACCCTGCCCTTGATGGGGAGTCAGAGGGGCCAGGCTGGGGCCATCCACCCCAGCCCCACGACGTGCCCTCCCTTCCGCCATCCCTGAAGCCATCTCCCCTCGTCCTGCGTCCCGGACCCATCTACGCTGAGGACGGAGACCGCGGCATCAACCAGCCCATCATCTACAGCATCTTTAGGGGTGAGTGGGGCCCAGCCCTCAACAATGCCCTGTACCCCCTCTGTCCCTGTCTCCATCCCCACCTTGGGCAGAGCTGGCTGGGTCCCTGGGCCTCAGGGGGCCGGGGCTGAGCACTTCCATCATCCTCCCAGGAAACGTGAATGGTACATTCATCATCCACCCAGACTCGGGCAACCTCACCGTGGCCAGGAGTGTCCCCAGCCCCATGACCTTCCTTCTGCTGGTGAAGGTGAGGTGGGCACCTGCATGGGGGGCAGGGCAGAGGGGGAAGGGTGGAAGGTAGGGCGGGGGGTCAGGGCTGGGGGGCCGGGGCAGGGCCCCCGCCAAGTCTGCACCTGCCTTTCCTGAGCCCCAGCCTTCAGCGCCAGCTCCACCTTCAACCCCACTAGTCACTGCTGCCTCCCCCGCCTCCAGGGCCAACAGGCCGACCTTGCCCGCTACTCAGTGACCCAGGTCACCGTGGAGGCTGTGGCTGCGGCCGGGAGCCCGCCCCGCTTCCCCCAGAGCCTGTATCGTGGCACCGTGGCGCGTGGCGCTGGAGCGGGCGTTGTGGTCAAGGATGCAGCTGCCCCTTCTCAGCCTCTGAGGATCCAGGCTCAGGACCCGGAGTTCTCGGTAGAGAGTGCATCCAAGGCCTCCCCTCTGTGGGTGGGTCAGGGCTGTACGTGGGAGGCAGCCTGGCCGGGGACTCAATGAGACCCTGTCCAGGACCTCAACTCGGCCATCACATATCGAATTACCAACCACTCACACTTCCGGATGGAGGGAGAGGTTGTGCTGACCACC
Source organism: Homo sapiens (assembly GCF_000001405.40). Lineage (NCBI taxonomy): Eukaryota > Metazoa > Chordata > Mammalia > Primates > Hominidae > Homo > Homo sapiens. The sequence goes on along the minus strand of NT_187586.1, from coordinate 149,408 downwards.
ACCACACTGGCACAGGCGGGAGCCTTCTACGCAGAGGTGCGGGGCAGGGCAGGCGGGCATCTCCAAGGGTGTGGGGCTTAAAGATGTGTCTAGGAGGGACAAGCCCCTTCCTGCCCCAGGTTGAGGCCCACAACACGGTGACCTCTGGCACCGCAACCACAGTCATTGAGATACAAGTTTCCGAACAGGAGCCCCCCTCCACAGGTAAGCCCCCCTCCACAGGTGAGCCCCCAGGGTTCTCCAAATAAGCCCCTTCGGTGGCTCCTTTCCCGCGGTAGGTGTGCAAGGGGCGGGCAGAGGCAAGCCCAAGCACTGTTCCCGGCCCCCAGATGTCCCCCCATCCCCAGAGGCTGGAGGAACAACTGGGCCCTGGACCAGCACCACTTCCGAGGTCCCCAGACCCCCTGAGCCCTCCCAGGGACCCTCCACGACCAGCTCTGGGGGAGGCACAGGCCCTCATCCACCCTCTGGCACAACTCTGAGGCCACCAACCTCGTCCACACCCGGGGGGTCCCCGGGTGCAGAAAACAGCACCTCCCACCAACCAGCCACTCCCGGTGGGGACACAGCACAGACCCCAAAGCCAGGAACCTCTCAGCCGATGCCCCCCGGTGTGGGAACCAGCACCTCCCACCAACCAGCCACACCCAGTGGGGGCACAGCACAGACCCCAGAGCCAGGAACCTCTCAGCCGATGCCCCCCAGTATGGGAACCAGCACCTCCCACCAACCAGCCACACCCGGTGGGGGCACAGCACAGACCCCAGAGGCAGGAACCTCTCAGCCGATGCCCCCCGGTATGGGAACCAGCACCTCCCACCAACCAACCACACCCGGTGGGGGCACAGCACAGACCCCAGAGCCAGGAACCTCTCAGCCGATGCCCCTCAGCAAGAGCACCCCATCTTCAGGTAGCACCCACTCTGTTGCCTTCCCTCCCTGACTCCGGTCATTGGCTGGTATGGGAAACGCTGTAGGAAGGGTCCACCCCAGGCTGACCTGGCCTGACCATGAAATCCCAAAGAGGAGTCTGTTTGGGACTGACAGACACAGACAGGCCCAAGGCCCCCAGTGAGGTAACCTGTGATGTGTGTAGGACAGAGGCCAGATGTGGGGTCCAGCGAATCCCACGATTCCCACGGCTGCCGCTCACCCTGCAAGTCCCTGCACCTCTTGTGAGCTCCTGTGAGCAGCTTGGCCTCCCGGGGGGGAGGGGGTGGGCAGGGTCTCGATGGGACACACAGGCCCCTTGAGCCAGGGTCAGCAGAGCCTGAGATTTGGGAGACAGCCCAGGCCTGGGTGGAACCCAAGTGTCCCAAGCCTGGCACAGGTTGGCACGGGAAATGCCTGGGGCACTCAACAGTGCGGGGATGATGACGTTTTCCACTGCGATGCCAGGTGGCGGCCCCTCGGAGGACAAGCGCTTCTCGGTGGTGGATATGGCGGCCCTGGGCGGGGTGCTGGGTGCGCTGCTGCTGCTGGCTCTCCTTGGCCTCGCCGTCCTTGTCCACAAGCACTATGGCCCCCGGCTCAAGTGCTGCTCTGGCAAAGCTCCGGTGAGGCCCAGGATGGAGAACAGGGCAGGCGACCAGGCAGGAAGTGGGGGACGGGGGACAGGAGAGGGGAGGGCAGAGGGACAGATGTGGAGACGGAGGGGTGTCCAGCGTGGAATGAGGGTGTGCAGGGCCAAGGCTGCAGAGACCCAGGGACCCCGCTGACGCCTCGACTCCCGCCTGCAGGAGCCCCAGCCCCAAGGCTTTGACAACCAGGCGTTCCTCCCTGACCACAAGGCCAACTGGGCGCCCGTCCCCAGCCCCACGCACGACCCCAAGCCCGCGGAGGCACCGATGCCCGCAGAGCCCGCACCCCCCGGCCCTGCCTCCCCAGGCGGTGCCCCTGAGCCCCCCGCAGCGGCCCGAGCTGGCGGAAGCCCCACGGCGGTGAGGTCCATCCTGACCAAGGAGCGGCGGCCAGAGGGCGGGTACAAGGCTGTCTGGTTTGGCGAGGACATCGGGACGGAGGCAGACGTGGTCGTTCTCAACGCGCCCACCCTGGACGTGGATGGCGCCAGTGACTCCGGCAGCGGCGATGAGGGCGAGGGCGCGGGGAGGGGTGGGGGTCCCTACGATGCGCCCGGTGGTGATGACTCCTACATCTAAGTGGCCCCTCCACCCTCTCCCCCAGCCGCACGGGCACTGGAGGTCTCGCTCCCCCAGCCTCCGACCCGAGGCAGAATAAAGCAAGGCTCCCGAAACCCAGGCCATGGCGTGGGGCAGGCGCGCGGGTCCATGGGGGTCCCATTCACTCAGTCCCCTGTCGTCATTAGCGCTTGAGCCCAGGTGTGCAGATGAGGCGGTGGGTCTGGCCACGCTGTCCCCACCCCAAGGCTGCAGCACTTCCCGTAAACCACCTGCAGTGCCCGCCGCCTTCCCGAGGCTCTGTGCCAGCTAGTCTGGGAAGTTCCTCTCCCGCTCTAACCACAGCCCGAGGGGGGCTCCCCTCCCCCGACCTGCACCGGAGATCTCAGGCACCCGGCTCAACTCAGACCTCCCGCTCCCGACCCTACACAGAGATTGCCTGGGGAGGCTGAGGAGCCGATGCAAACCCCCAAGGCGACGCACTTGGGAGCCGGTGGTCTCAAACACCTGCCGGGGGTCCTAGTCCCCTTCTGAAATCTACATGCTTGGGTTGGAGCGCAGCAGTAAACACCCTGCCCAGTGACCTGGACTGAGGCGCGCTGGGGGTGGGTGCGCCGTGTGGCCTGAGCAGGAGCCAGACCAGGAGGCCTAGGGGTGAGAGACACATTCCCCTCGCTGCTCCCAAAGCCAGAGCCCAGGCTGGGCGCCCATGCCCAGAACCATCAAGGGATCCCTTGCGGCTTGTCAGCACTTTCCCTAATGGAAATACACCATTAATTCCTTTCCAAATGTTTTAATTGTGAGAGTATCTGATATTCTTGACTGAACAATGTAAAAAACCCAAAGGGGGCTGCGCACGGCGGCTCTCGCCTAAATCCCAGCACTTTGGGAGGCCGAGGTGGGCAGATCACCTGAGGTCGGGAGTTCGACACCAGCCTGACCAACATAGAGAAACCCCGTCTCTACTAAAAATACAAAATTAGCCGGGCGTGGTGGTTCATGCCTGTAATCCCAGCTACTCGGGAGGCTTAGGTAGGAGAATCACTTGAACCCGGGAGGCGGAGGTTGTGGTGGGCCAAGATTGTGCCACCGCACTCCAGCCTGGGTAACAAAAGCGAAACTCCATCTCAAAAAAAGAAACGCAAACGGTGCAGCTGCCCCTTTTTCGAGGCACGTCCACCTCCCATTACCCACTTCCTTTTTTTTTTGAGACTGAGTCTTGCTCTGTCCCCTGGGCTGTAGTGGAGTGGCTCCATCTCGGCTCACTGCAGCCACTCCCAACGCCCTCCACTCCTCCCTACTCCGCGCTGGCCGGGGCGGGGTTCCGCTGGTCGCATCCAATAATAAGAACAGGCGGCGCGCGCCCTTCCCGGAAACTCCCGCCTGGCCACCATAAAAGCGCCGGCCCTCCGCTTCCCCGCGAGACGAAACTTCCCGTCCCGGCGGCTCTGGCACCCAGGTACTGGGGACCCCAGACCCACGCGGTGCAGGCCGGGAGCGAGAGCCTCCGTGGGGGCTCCGTGACCCCGGAGGGGTAGAGCCAAGAGCTGGGGGAGCCTGAGAGATGAGGGTCGGGCGGGGAGGGAGGCGGAGGCGGAGGCGGAGGCGGGGTTCCGCGGAGCTGAGAACCGGACGGGGTGGGATCGAGGAGGGTGCGAAGCGCCACTGTTTAGGTTTCGCTTTCCCGGGAGCCTGACCCGCCCCTGACGTCGCCTTTCCCGTCTCCGCAGGGTCCGGCCTGCGCCTTCCCGCCAGGCCTGGACACTGGTTCAACACCTGTGACTTCATGTGTGCGCGCCGGCCACACCTGCAGTCACACCTGTAGCCCCCTCTGCCAAGAGATCCATACCGAGGCAGCGTCGGTGGCTACAAGCCCTCAGTCCACACCTGTGGACACCTGTGACACCTGGCCACACGACCTGTGGCCGCGGCCTGGCGTCTGCTGCGACAGGAGCCCTTACCTCCCCTGTTATAACACCTGACCGCCACCTAACTGCCCCTGCAGAAGGAGCAATGGCCTTGGCTCCTGAGAGGTAAGAGCCCGGCCCACCCTCTCCAGATGCCAGTCCCCGAGCGCCCTGCAGCCGGCCCTGACTCTCCGCGGCCGGGCACCCGCAGGGCAGCCCCACGCGTGCTGTTCGGAGAGTGGCTCCTTGGAGAGATCAGCAGCGGCTGCTATGAGGGGCTGCAGTGGCTGGACGAGGCCCGCACCTGTTTCCGCGTGCCCTGGAAGCACTTCGCGCGCAAGGACCTGAGCGAGGCCGACGCGCGCATCTTCAAGGTGGGGACCCCAGCCCCGCCCCGCCCCGGGTGGGAGAGCCCGCCTAGGACCCCGCGGGCCCGGCACACGTGTTCTGTCCCCCTCTTCAGGCCTGGGCTGTGGCCCGCGGCAGGTGGCCGCCTAGCAGCAGGGGAGGTGGCCCGCCCCCCGAGGCTGAGACTGCGGAGCGCGCCGGCTGGAAAACCAACTTCCGCTGCGCACTGCGCAGCACGCGTCGCTTCGTGATGCTGCGAGATAACTCGGGGGACCCGGCCGACCCGCACAAGGTGTACGCGCTCAGCCGGGAGCTGTGCTGGCGAGGTGAGCGACGCCGGCTGCCAAGGGCGTTGGCATTCGTCCTGCTTGGGCAAAGGGGAACATTCTCTGGGTCAGATTTGTGGTTTTAGAAGCTGTTCTGGGAGAGGCTGCCAGCAGGCCCAGGACAGGTGGAGAGCCACATCCCCACCTCCTCAGGCCACAGCCTAAGGGTTCACAGCCAGGAAGCTGGTGGGGGCTACACCAGGCTCTCCTTGTATCTCTCACTCTGGTGTCGGGGCCTAACGCCTGCCCCATTCTCTCTCAGAAGGCCCAGGCACGGACCAGACTGAGGCAGAGGCCCCCGCAGCTGTCCCACCACCACAGGTACCCTTCTCTCTGCCTGCCTCTCCTCCTGCCAGGCCGCGGAGCTGCTTACGTTCACCCTGACTTTTCCCTGCAGGGTGGGCCCCCAGGGCCATTCCTGGCACACACACATGCTGGACTCCAAGCCCCAGGCCCCCTCCCTGCCCCAGCTGGTGACAAGGGGGACCTCCTGCTCCAGGCAGTGCAACAGAGCTGCCTGGCAGACCATCTGCTGACAGCGTCATGGGGGGCAGATCCAGTCCCAACCAAGGCTCCTGGAGAGGGACAAGAAGGGCTTCCCCTGACTGGGGCCTGTGCTGGAGGTGTGGGCGTGCCCGGGGAGGGGGGGAGCGCGGGAGGGGCCAGTGCACCTGGACGGACACTTTAGAAGGGGGCTGGGGATTGGGGAGCTGGAGAATTAGGAGGGGACCACCGTTCCCACTGTCCTCCCCTCCTCAGGCCCAGGGCTCCCTGCTGGGGAGCTGTACGGGTGGGCAGTAGAGACGACCCCCAGCCCCGGGCCCCAGCCCGCGGCACTAACGACAGGTGAGAGGGGTAGGGGTTGGGAGGCCTGGGGCACAGGGAGAGGCTAGGGATGAGGTGCCAGCACAGGATTCCCTTCCGGATGCAGGCGAGGCCGCGGCCCCAGAGTCCCCGCACCAGGCAGAGCCGTACCTGTCACCCTCCCCAAGCGCCTGCACCGCGGTGCAAGGTGAGTGCATCCCAGGAAGGGGCAGCCTGTCCCCGCCCACCCCCGTCACTCACGGCTTGTCCCCGCCCACCCATCACTCACATCCTGTCCCCGCCCACCCCCGTCACTCACATCCTGTCCCCGCCCACCCCCGTCACTCACAGCCTGTCCCCGCCCACCCCCGTCACTCACAGCTTGGTCTCCACACAGAGCCCAGCCCAGGGGCGCTGGACGTGACCATCATGTACAAGGGCCGCACGGTGCTGCAGAAGGTGGTGGGACACCCGAGCTGCACGTTCCTATACGGCCCCCCAGACCCAGCTGTCCGGGCCACAGACCCCCAGCAGGTAGCATTCCCCAGCCCTGCCGAGCTCCCGGACCAGAAGCAGCTGCGCTACACGGAGGAACTGCTGCGGCACGTGGCCCCTGGGTTGCACCTGGAGCTTCGGGGGCCACAGCTGTGGGCCCGGCGCATGGGCAAGTGCAAGGTGTACTGGGAGGTGGGCGGACCCCCAGGCTCCGCCAGCCCCTCCACCCCAGCCTGCCTGCTGCCTCGGAACTGTGACACCCCCATCTTCGACTTCAGAGTCTTCTTCCAAGGTCAGTGAGGCCCTTGCCTGGGGGGCTGTCTCCAGGGGTCCTTGGGAGCACCTGCCTGCCAGGTACTCAGCAGAGTCCCCTTCTTCAGAGCTGGTGGAATTCCGGGCACGGCAGCGCCGTGGCTCCCCACGCTATACCATCTACCTGGGCTTCGGGCAGGACCTGTCAGCTGGGAGGCCCAAGGAGAAGAGCCTGGTCCTGGTGAAGGTGAGACCAGAGCCTCAAGGAGGGGAGGCCATGTGCTCAGGCCCACTGACAGACGCCTGATGCCCTCAGAGCCTCGGAGAGGGGGAGGGGAGGCCATACACCGGGTCACTGACAGACGCCCGACGCCCTCAGAGCCTGGGGAGGGGGAGGGGAGGACACACGCCGGGTCACTGACAGACGCCCGATCCCTCCTGGCAGCTGGAACCCTGGCTGTGCCGAGTGCACCTAGAGGGCACGCAGCGTGAGGGTGTGTCTTCCCTGGATAGCAGCAGCCTCAGCCTCTGCCTGTCCAGCGCCAACAGCCTCTATGACGACATCGAGTGCTTCCTTATGGAGCTGGAGCAGCCCGCCTAGAACCCAGTCTAATGAGAACTCCAGAAAGCTGGAGCAGCCCACCTAGAGCTGGCCGCGGCCGCCCAGTCTAATAAAAAGAACTCCAGAACACGTACTGGCATCTTGGCTGGTGGGGAATTGGGTCCAGGCTGAACACGGGTGAGGCCCAGGGAGGGAGGGGACCTCCACGGCCTCCCTGCACACCAACTCACTTCTGTCTTCACCACACACATCACAGCCAAGCTTTGACTCAAAGAACAAGACCCTTGACAGGCCAGTGGCCGCCAAAGCCACTCCCACCAGCTGTGCCAAGGGCAGGGACAGCATTTCCCCATGCAGGACACCTGTCGCCAGCCCTCAGGCTGCCACTGCTGCACCCTGCCTCCAGGAGGCAACGGTGTTGAGTGCAAACTCGAGCAATTATTTACAAGAGCACAACATAATTGGAAAAGAGAAAGTAAAGATATTCCTAATTCAGAGCCAAAGGTACACAGCAGCTGTTGGCGGGAGGCCACCTAGAGATTTATCAAGGACGCGCCACCCCACCAGGAGCCCCTCTTGATCACCAAGTGCTTTATCTTCCAAGTAGTAAGTCAATCAAGAGGTTTCTAAAGATAATCCATTTTTGATAAATTAGAATGGAAACAGTGTCTCTATAATATACATACAAAAGTGTCCAGTTTTCAACTGTGAGCAACACAGGTGCACAGACCAGGTGTCAGCGCAGGAACCCGACGGCAGGCATGGTGATGCCCCCCATTTCCCGCCACTCCCGACAGCTCCCCGGGCATGGCCCCGATTCCCGCCACTCCCGACAGCTCCCCGGGCATGGCCCCGATTCCCGCCACTCCCGACAGCTCCCCGGGCATAGCCCGTGATTGCCTGGCCTCAGCCCTCGGCCCCCTGCGTGGGCGGCTCCTCCCCGGCCTCTGGTTTCTTGTGCCTGCGCATGTGCCTGTACTTGTCCACGTACGCCTTCACCAGGTTGGCCACCTTCACGGGGTTGATCTCTCCACTCTTGCTGTGGCAGATCTGGAGAAAGAGGTGCAATCACCAAATGCCCTTTCACATCCAGATGTTCCGGGCCAGAGCCCAGGGCCAAAGCTGGGCTCCCTCGCCTGCCCTGCTCAGGAGCAGGCCCTAGGTGCAGCACGCAGACAGACGGCGGCAGAGGCCGCCCCACCTATGTGAGACCCCCGTCCTGTTCGCTATGCCGCTCACAAGGCCACTGAGGGTCCCACGGTGTCGGTGGGCGGGGGGAGCATGGGCTGAGACGTCACCAGGCAACTGCTCACCTCTGGGGGTCGTTCTCCCACCTGTAAGCTGGGCGTGGGCTGGGTAGTTTTAAATTACCCAGGGTGCACTGAGGCACCCTCCTTCCTAAGCATCTGCCAGGGGCAGCCACAGGCGAACAGGCTTGACCCCAGGCCTACAGGATGTGGCAATACAGCCCCCTGACCCCTAACCTGGCTGGCTGACCTCGGGCCTGCACTCATGGCCACCCCAAAGTCCATGCTGACGAGACAGCAGCGACGTACCGCCCGTGACCCCGAGCCCCACACACAGGCTCGCACACAGCCCACCTTCTGCACGGCCTTGCGCAGGATGTCCTTGTACTCCTCCTTGGTCACCTCCCTCTTCTGGTAGAAGGGCTTGATGGCCAGCTTCACCTCCTCCACAGCACGCTCCTGCATGTGCAGCTTCTTCATGTACTAGAGGGGACATGTGTGTGATGCGGCCAGGAAGGGAGCCGGGAGTCCCTCTGGCCAGAGGCACTGTGGTTCTGGACACCCTTGCAGTTCCAGAGGCACAGCGACCAGCTTCCGCCCATAAACTCAGCCCCAACAACTTTAGTTTCAAAGTAAGATGGGAACATGGGGAAAGTGGGAGGAGGCAGGACTCACCTCCTCCTTCTTGGTTTTCTCCGCAGCTAGCCTGGGGGCCGGGGTCTTCTCCTCCGAGTTGCTGGCTGCAGTGGCTTGACTGGCTGGCTCTGAGGCTGGGGTCAGGGCAGCGGGCACTGGGGCCAGGGTCTGTGCTGCCCCACAGCCCACTAGCGGCAGGCTCCCCTGAAGGATGAACTGGACCGTGGGCTGGCTGACCAGTGCGCAGGGTGGGATGCTTGAGGGCTGGGCCGGGGCAGGCGGCAGGCCGGGGCTGTAAACCTGGGAGGGACACCCCTGCTGAGCACTGGGCCCTACAGCTAGCAGCTCTGTGCCCAGGAGCTGTGAGGCCTCAGCCCCAGCCTAGTGTGGTGTGTGTGGCACGGGTGCCAGGCCACTGCCCACGGCCCACAGCCCTCCAGCCCAGACACCCACCTGAGAGGGGTCTGTGTCTGGGAACCCGGGTTCCGGAAGCACGTGACTGGGAAAGGGCAGCTCGGAGAACGCCTGCCTGACCCCTGTGGGGGCCACATCCTCCATGTCCCAGGCTCCTTCTCGGGGCTTCTGTGGCCTGTGAAGTGGTGCCCCTGGGGGCCCGACAGACAGGGAGGTGGGTGCTCTGTGCCCACCCCTGCCCAGAATGCTGTTTCATGGCTGGAAAAATCCAGAAAAGCACCAGGAGCAAGGACCACAGAGCAGCCCTCAGATCCACCCCCAGCACCAAGGGGAGGTTGCGAGGTGTGCCAGCTCCTAGCCACTGATCCCCGACCATGACCTGTTCTGCCCACCTGCAGGAGACCCCCACACCCACTATCCCAGTGTTCCCTGGCTCCAGAAGCTCCCTGTGGTGGCCGGGGCCCTACTCACTCAGGGGCCCTGTCCTTGACAGGAGTCAGATTCACAGGGGGCTCTGTTCTCAGCGGAGGCCAGGGCCCTACTCACGGGGGGCTCTGTCCTCGGTGGAGGCCGGGGCCTTACTCACGGGGGGCTCTGTCCTCGGCGGGGGCCAGGGCCTTACTCACTGGGGGCTCTGTCCTCGGTGGGGGCCGGGGCACTACTCACGGGGGGCTCTGTCCTCGGCGGGGGCGCTGCTCTCCGACTCCTGCAGGTTCCAGGTGACCCGCTTCACCAGGGCTCTGGACCGCAGCAGGGGGGTCTGCGAAACCACCTCCTCAGGCCGGGCTGCCTCCTGTACCCTCCCACTCGCAGAGGGGCTGTCTTCCTTCCCCGCAGGCGCCACATCCGGGGAACTGGGTGCCTCAGCCTTCTCAGCCGCGTCCGGCCTGAGCAAATGTGGCTCCTGGGTGCCCTCTGGCAGGGGTGGGGGCTGCGAAGGGTCTTCATCGTGCATCAATGACACCTCCCTCTGGATGGCGGCCACGGCCAGGCTGGCTGGGGGCAACGCAGGCTTCAGTGGGAAGTCTCGCTCCGGGGAAGAGTCTGTGCTTTCGGGAGAAGGTGGCGAGCTCATGTCATCGAGCTGGATGAAAACGGCGTCGCTTGAGAAATCATCAAAGACGTGTCCGGCCTCCACGGAGTCGCCATAATCCAGGTCCAGGTCGTCCGGCTCACACTCAGCTGCCACCTCCAGGACAGGGGGAGCCTGCAGGGGGGCCTTGTCGGCCGTAGCCACCTCCGGCGAGACATGTGCTTCCCCCAAGGCTGGCAACCTGGTGGGGAGGTCTTCCCGCCCTGGCTCCCCCTGTGCAAGGGGCGCTGGGGAAGCCTCCCTCACAGCCCCCTTCCTCTCTGGGGAATGGGACCGGGTCTGCGGCCACTTCTCACGGGACCGAGGCCGCCTGTGCTCCCGTGCCCTGTGCTCCGAGCTTGGGGACCGGGACCTCCGCTTCCTCCGGTCTCGGGGCCACGCCACACTCTCCTTCCTGTCTGGCCGCTCGTGGCTGCGTTCCCGCTGATGCTTGTGCCTGCAGAGCCTCTCCAGGCTGCTGGTGGGGGAGCACTCCCTTCCCCGAGGTCTGGACGCTGATCTCCTTTTCTTCTTCTTCCTACTCTCATAGTGCTCATAGGAAGAGCTGCCAGGGCTCCCCGACCGCGACCGGGACGTCCTCCGGCTGTGGCCCCAGGGGCCCCGCCTGTGCTCCCTGCTCTTGTCCTTGGCTTTCTTCCTCTTAGCTCGCTCTCGGCTGCTGGAGCGGTCACTGGAGGACCGCCGGCTCTTGGCCTTGGACCGCTGCCTCCTGGGGCGCTCCTCACCCACTGATGGTGACGCTGACCTCGAGCTCCTGTCCCTGGATTCAGAGCGCGTCCCAGAGCGCGTCCGTCCGTGCTCCCTGGACACCCTCTTCCTCTTGGCCTTCTTCCTGCTGCGGGAGCTGGATGTGGAGCGGGACCGGGAAGGGGGCCTGAGCTCCACGACTCTGTGGGTGGCAGCCTGCAGCACGTCCGGGCTGGGTGGGGCTTCCGGCTCCACGACAGTCACACAGGTCACCGTCCGCTCCTCAGAGCCAAAGAAGGTGCTGCAAGACGCCCCATCCTCCTCATCCCAGGGCTCTGGGGGGGATGGCCTCCGCAGCCGGGCAGCCAGGCCCTGGCTCTCTGTGGGCTCCTCTCGCTCCGTGTCAGAGGCCCCCTCGGCAGCCACTGCACCCCGGAGCTTGGACATGGCGGAGGACGGTCCGAGAGGGGGTTCGGGCTCTGTACCAAAGATGCTCTCCACCGTGTAGGAGGTGACGCAGCGCACAGCCTGCACCGTCTGGGCCTTCGGGCTGTTGATGGAGATGGTTCGTGTGATCTCAGAGGGCAGGAGGCCGGGGCCAGACCTCTCGGGGCTGCTGCCAGGGGCGCTGGAGTCGGAGCCGGTGGGGTCGGATGGGTCGTAGACCTCGCTCCGCAGCTGCTTCGTCTTCTTGATGGAGAAGAGGGGTGAGGGGTTCTCCTTCCTCTGCTCCTTATCGTCCACAGGCCGGAACGTGTTACAGAAGCCAGGGCTGGAGAGCTGGCTGGAATGTGCCATGTTTCCAGGAATATTGATCCGGAAGCTCTCAAAGGTCGACCCGACCCCTTTCCCTCTTGATGGTCCCAGTGGGGCCAAACTGCCATGGGAGCTGGGGGCTGGGGGCCGGGAGCTGCCCGTGTGCACCCCGGGCTCCCGGGGCACCCTGCTGCTGGCCTCGCTCTCTGCCCGTGTGCCTCGCCCTGGCTGCCCGGTGCCCTCCCTGCCAGTCAGTCGGCTGATGCAGGCACTGGGGATCTCAATGCTCTGCCCGTGGGCCGGGGCCGCATCCCGTCTGCCACCACCGTCATCTCTCCTGATCTTTGGTATCCTGGGTAGCTCAGAGATGTCTGTTCTTCTGGGCGCTGGCTTCAGGGGAGGCCCCGGCACCACACTGCGACATGGGGGCTTAGAATCTCTGCTTGAGATCTTAGACGCGGCAGAGGCAAGGGGCAAGGTGTGCTTGTTGGTGCCGTTGAACCAGGGGCTGTGGCTCTGTCTGAAGCCAGGCACACTCCCATTTGACAAGTTCCGAGCCTGAACCGCCCCAGGGGCTGCTGGCAAGTCCAGCCTCACAGGCGCCCCCGCGGTGCGGGCGGGGGTGCGGGACCTGCCTTGACAGCTGAGCCCTGTGCTCTGTGGCCTGTTTCCTGACGGGCCTTGGGCCGGGCTCCCGGAGGGCAGTGCTCGGGGCTGCAGGCAGCCCTTGAATCCTTCTTCCCCTCTGGACAGACTGCCTGAGTTTCGCTGAAAAGAAACTGGAGCTAAAAAACAAAAAAGTCAATGGCAATCATTTCCCACCCACTCTTCTTAAATGTCAGTGGTTTAATTTTTATCACAACTGGTTTTCTGTGAGGTCGTGCGCTTTAAACTCCTGTCTGCCTGTTGAGGTGGACACCTCGCCTTTCCACACCCGGAGAGCTGCTTCAACAGCCACTCTGTGGATGACAAAGTACAGTGCCTGAGGCCATCAGGACACGATATTAACCAGGGGCGGGGGCAGTACCCCATCAGGACATGTTCTTATGAACATGAAGCTGTGGGGCTGGGTAAGAACTCGGAGCTAACTGAGAAACTGCTCAAGAAGGGAAATCAATGCAGAAAAATGGCTGAGGAATGGTCCCCCCAACTTCAGCTACATCTTCCGTGACTGAGACATGGGCTGAGTGCTTGGGAACAGCCTGAGGACCAGCAGCCCACAGAGGAAGGGGCCGTGGCAGGGAAGGCACTCACCCGCCCTCTTGGCGCTGAGGGAGCCGTCGCGGTGGATGATGACATCACTGCTGCCCAGCATCAGGAGGCTCTGGCCCGACAGGATGCTGCCCAGCAGGTCAGGCACTGGCTCCTCCTCCAAGTCTGGCTCTGGCACCGCGGCAGGGAGGCGCCTCCTGTGGGCACAGACCCAAGGCCCTGCCGTCACTGCCTCCCACGGCCTGAGGGCCCGCACCCAGGCAGAGCCCCGCAGCAGGCGGGAGCCAGGGAGAGTGGGGCTGGGCCGGGCCTGCGCCTCCCCCACAGCCCTGGCTCCGGCTGCTGTTCTAAGAGGTGCTCACCGGGGCCTCCCAGAGGGAGGGAGGGAGGGAGCCCCACCTCGCAGCTCTGGCCCCAGGGAAACCAGGCGTTTTTGGGAGAAGTCACCTCTGGTGCCTTTGCCACCCCCAACTCCACCAACAGGTGGGAGGGGGCAGACAAGCACCTTTACCTGTTTTGTTGGTTTTGGTTAATTTTTTGTTCTTGTGGCGAAACAAAAGAACTGGCCAAAAGGTGACCTCTGATGACAGCCTTATTCACCAGGGCCACTGCTCCTGCCCGAGGCGGTGTCCCTGTGCTGGTGGCTCTCAGGCCGGGGTGGGGGGCAGAGGGGCCACCTCGTGGAGCTGCAGCAACTCCCAGTCCACGCTCACAGGCAGGCCGTGGCCTCTGACACAGGATGGGCTGCAGCACTGCCTCACGCCAAGGGCCGACTGATGAGCGTGACAGCTGAGGGGAGGTGCTGACGCCACCCAGGGCCACAGAGAGCCAGGCTATCACGGCCCCACCCTAGAACTCCCATCCGATGCCCAACTGCTGCCCCCACCTCCCCAGAAGCCTCTGCCCTCACACACCTGGAAAGCCCCACGGAGACGGGCCTGGCCACGGGCTGGTGGGACTGCAGGGCTGACCGGGACAGAGCCCGTCTCTTGGCACTCAGAGGGGAAAGAGGGTTTGCAGAAAGCTCTTCACTGCTAGAGGGGAGGACACAGGCCAAAGGGAACAAGTGACTCCCAGCTCCCAGAAACCCCAGCCCAGGGAGACGGCACGGAGGAGGATGGCCGAGCACTGGCCATGTGGCGGCACGTGTGATTCGGGCCCCGAACCAGACCTCTGAGTTCCACGCCACCCACCTGCACCGTATGGCGGTGGGAGGAATGGCCACCCTCACTCTCAAACACAAAACCTAACGCCTCCGCATGCACCTCGGGGCCCCGTGCCCACAGCCCCCAGGGAGAGGAGCGGGTGCCCAGGCAGGACCATCACCAGTTCACTCACCTGTCGAAGGGATCCAGCTCATAAGGATCTCCAAACAGAGACAGAGAGGCAGCTCCAATATCCGCTCTCAGCAGCCCCAAAGAGGGCTCCACTGGCTTCAACACTGACGGGATGCAGCTGCTGTGAACAGGCCTGCGCAGGCCCAGCGTCCGCGCGATTCGAGAGCGAGTGGTGGCTTCACTCTGAATCCAGTAACAAAGAAAAAGATGAACAGAGAGACGGGGATGGCATCTACGAGGGCTCTGTAAATGCCACGTGAAGCCTTCATCAGCAACAGTGAACACTAGAGCCGGAAAATACTAAGCCAAAGTCAATGGGCTTCTCAGGCATGATGACCGACAAGCAGGAACAATGCCGCACACATCGGCCGTGAAGCTCCTGCAGGCTACCAGAGGCTCTCGGGCATTGCAGTGTCACCATCACGTCGTAGTAGCATTAAGTGAAAACTCACAAAGAGGGAAACAAAAAATTCAACTGATGACTGACAGTAAAACCCCTTGATGGCTCACATCTGTAATCCCAGCATTCTGGGAGCCCAAGGCAGACAGATCATTTGAGGCCAGCTTGAGACCAGCCTGGCCAACATGGTGAAACCCCATCTCTACTAAAAATACAAAAATTAGCTGGGCCTGGTGGCGGACGCCTGTAATCCCAGCTACTCAGGAGGCTGAGGCAAGAGAACTGCTTGAACCCGGGAGGCAGAGGTTGCAGTGAACCAAGATTGCACCACTGTAACTCCAGCCTGGGGGACAGAGCGAGACTCTGTCTCAAAAACAAACAAACAAGAACACCAAAAAAGCCTTGAGAAGATGACACAAATTTAGATTTTAAGCGCTGTCATTATTCCTAAATTCCTAAAAACCCTAAGAGTTACTAGCTGTTTCCTTCTGATTCTAGGCAGAGCGGACAGGGCAGCCTCCCGCTGTGGCTGGGACTTCATCGCCTGAAGGCAGGCGTCGCCCCTCCCAAGGGTGAACACCCTCACGTGCCATCGGGCCCCCAGGCTGTGGTCCCAGAACACTGTCTGCAGAAGAAAGGAACCACAGAAACAGCATGCAGGACAAAAAGCTCAGGACGACGCCCAGGAGTGTTCTGGGCACAGGGATGGGAGACGAGGTTCCAACCCAGGCTCAGGGCACCCCGCAAAGCAAAGGGAGAGCCCAGGGGACCTGAGAACTGGGAAATAGCAGGTCCTTATCCAACACCTGGTCATGGCTTTAGCTTCTACTCCAGGAATTTTGTCTGAATGAATAAACAGATCGGATGTTCGAATAATGCATTTAAAACTAAAATAAGAGGGCCAGGCATGGTGGCTCACACCTGGAATCCCAGCAGTTTGGGAGGCCAAGGTGGGTGGATCACTTGAGGTCGGGAGTTCAAGACCAGCCTGACCAACATGGCAAAACCCCATCTCTACTAAAAATACAAAACTTAGCCGGGCGTGGTAGCACACACCTATGATCCCAGCTATTTGGGAGGCCGAGGTTGCAGTGAGCTGAGATCATACTACTGCACTCCAGCCTCAGCAACAAGAGCGAAACTCCATCTCAAAAAAAAAAAAAAAAAAAAACAAACTTAAATATGGTTTTAGATAAATATGTATTATATGAGTTTATATTTACTAGGAAATAAACAATAATCTTGAGTATAAATTCACATAAAGATGCAGCAGACTTGGCGCTCACACCTGTAATCCCAGCACTTTGGGAGGTTGAGGCAGGAGGATCATTTGAGCCTAGGAGTTCAAGACCAGCTTGGGGAACGCAGTGAGACCCCGTCTCCACCAAAAAAAGAAAATTAGCTAGGTGAGGTGGCGTGAGCCTGTGGTCCCAGCTACTTGAGAGGCTGACGTGGGAGGATCACCTTAGCCTGGGAGGTCAAGGCGGTTGCAGTGAGCCAGGATCATGTCACTGCACTCCAGCCCGGGTAACAGAACCAGACTTTGTTCCCGCCCCAACCTAAAACAAACAAACAAACAACACTTTGTGAGGCTTAGATGACAAACTGCTTAAGCCCGGGAGTCTAAGACCAGCCTGGGCAACATGGCGAACGCTTGTGTCTACGAAAAATACAAAAACTAGCCGGGCACGGTGGGCTATGCCTGTAGTCCCAGCTACTCAGGAAGCTGAGGTGGGAGGATCACCTGGGCCTGGGGAGGTCAAGGCTGCAGTGAGCTGGGATTGAGCCATTGCACTTCAGCCTGGGCCACAGAGTGATACCATCTCAAAAAACAAAACAAAGGCTGGGCACGGTGGCTCACTCCTGTAATCCCAGCACTTTGGGGGCCGAGGTGGGCAGATCACGAGGTCAGGAGTTCAAGACCAGCCTGATCAACATGGTGAAACCCTATCTCTAATAAAAATACAAAAATTAGCTGGGCGTGGTGGCACACGCCTATAATCCCAGCGACTCAGGAGGCTGAGGGAGGAGAATCACTTGAACCCGGGAGGTGGAGGGTGCAGTGAGCCGAGATCGCACCACTACACTCCAGCGTGGGGACAGAGTGAGACTCCATCTCAAAAAAAAAAACAAAAAAAACAAAAACAAAACCAAAAAAGATTCAGCAAACACTTGAACAATGGCTGCAACTCAGTTTTGTTTTGTTTTGTTTTGTTTTTGAGGCAGAGTTTTGCTCTCGTCTCCCAGGCTGGAGTGCAGTGGTGCAATCTCGGCTCACTGCAACCTCTGCCTCCCAGGGTTCAAGTGATTCTCCTGCCTCAGCCTCCTGAGGCTGGGACTGCAGGTGCCTGCCACCACACCCAGCTAATTTTTAGTCTTTTTAGTAGAGATGGGGTTTCACCATGTTGGCCAGGCTGGCCTTGAACTCCTGACCTCAGGTGATCCGTCCGCCTCAGCCCCCCAAAGTGGTGGGATCACAGGTGTGAGCCACCGCGCTCGGCCGTAATTCAAGTTTTTACATATTAAGGTGTTTTAAATGTGCAGTCCGAGTGGACAAGGTGATACATTTAGTCCCGGTTTGAGCATCACAAACATGCACACGAATGACACACCACCCTCCACCCCATCAACACAGACAATAATTAGGGATCAACTAAAAATGAATATTAAATGTCTGGTCCATGATTTTGGATGGAAAGGGCCTAGGACAACAAACGCCACGACGTATACCAAGGAGGCCGCTCCCAGGGCCCAGCGAACATGGGTCAGAAGAGGTGGACAGGGCCTGTCAGACACGGCTTGTGTCACTCCTCAGAGCCAGGCTGGCCAGGCCTGCCTGAAACCCACAGCTGCTCCTGGGGGCCTCTGCCAGAGGGCTTGCACTGGCCTGGCTCACACCTGGCTCCCCGACCAGCTGATGGCTTCAGGAAGGTTCCTTGGGGGCACATGACCACCCCTCAACCCCTCAGTGTGCCTCAGGAAACAGCTGGCCTCAACCCCATCTTCAGTCTGTGCTACAGAAATGTTCATTTCCATCAGCAAATCACTGAGTAAATACAGAAAAGCAAAGACGATGATGATCCCTGCTCCATAACCGCGCGAGGGTGCCAAGGCCAGCGGGAGGCTTAGGCCCTGCTCCGTAACCACGCGAGGGTGCTGTGGCCAGCAGGAGACTCAGGCCCTGCCACCCAATGCTCACCTTTACCTTCTTCCCTCTTCTCTTCTTCACTCGATGTTGGCGTTTCTTAGATCTTGTCGCTGAGCTCTTACTTTTTGCGGATGGTCCGGACGGGGTTTTCTTTCTTCCCGGCACTTTCTTCCGTCTTCCTAAGGAAAAGAGGTTGAAGTCTGTGCTTCTCTGTGCTGGGCCCTCCCTGCCCCATTCCTGTGAGTCCAGCCCAGTGGACGGAGCCCAAGGAGCCGGTACAGCGGGACCACACGCACCGGCTTGCAATTTTTTTTTTTTTTTTTTGAGACAGGATCTTGCCCTGTCACCCAAGCTGGAGTGCAGTGGCACAATCTCAGCTCACAGCAGCCTCCAACTCCTGGGCTCACGTGATTCTCCTGCCTCAGCCTCCCAAGCAGCTGGAACTACAGGTAGGCACCACCGTGCCCAGCTAATTTTTTTTATAGATAGGGCTTATCATGTTGCCCAGGCTGGCCTCTGGGCTCAAGCGATCCTCCTGCCTCAGCCTCCTAAAGAGCTAGGATTACAGGTGTGAGCCACCACGCCTGCCCAAATTTTTTTCTGAGACGGAGTCTTGCTCTGTCACGAAGGCTGAAGTGCACTGGTGCGATCTTACCTCACTGCAACCTCCGCCTCCTGGGTTCAAGCGATTCTCCTGCCTCAGCCTCCCAAGTAGCTGGGATTACAGGCATGTGCCACCACACCCAGCTAATTTTTGTATTTTTGTATTATTTTGTTTTGTTTTTTTGAGACGGAGTCTCGCTCTGTCACCCAGGCTGGAATGCAGTGGCGTGATCTCAGCTCACTGCAATCTCTGCCTCCCAGGTTCACGCCATTCTCCTGCCTCAGCCTCCCGTGTAGCTGGGACTACAGGCGCCCGCCACCATGCCCGGCTAATTTTTTGTATTTTTAGTAGAGACGGGGTTTCACCGTGTTAGCCAGGATGGTCTCGATCTCCTGACCTCGTGATCCGCCCACCTCGGCCTCCCAAAGTGCTGGGATTACAGGTGTAAGCCACCATGCCTGGCCTAATTTTTGTATTTTTAATAGAGACAGAGTTTTGTTAAGTTGGCCAGGCTGGTCTTGAACTCCTGATCTCAGGTGACACACCCGCCTCAGCCTCCCAAAGTGCTGGGATTACAGGTGCGAGCCACTGTGCCCGGCGTCAAAGATTTTTAAACGGAGAAATAAACCATATATATATATATATATATATATTTTTGGAGACAGAGTCTCACTCTGTCACCCAGGCTGGACTGCAGTGGCGCCATCTCAAACTCCTGGCCTCAAGCTATCCACCTGCCCCAGCCTCCCAAAGTGCTGGGATTACAAGCTACTCAGGAGGCTGAGGCACCACAATTGCTTGAGCCTGGGAGGCAGAGGTTGCAGTGAGCTGAGATTGCGCCATTGCACTCCAGCCTGGGCAAGATGAGATCCTGTCTCAAAAAAAAAAAAAAGGAATAAAAATAATGTGTTCCTATCGGGGAGAGACACAGAAAATGAGCTGCACCGAAGAACAGAGCCTGACATCCCTGAGTGCACCATTAGATATCTTACATAGTTCTCATCAGGGCCAGGCACCATGGCTCACACCTGTAACCCCAGCACTTTGGGAGGCCGAGGCAGGTGGACTGCTTGAGACTTTAACACAAATGAGCTCACTGCACATCTGTAGTGACATAAAGATTAAAACAATTTTAACTGCAAAAAACACCCAGCCAAACGCCCATCAACAGGACAAACTGTGGTATATTCATACAATGGAATATTTCTCAATAATAAAAAATCAGCCACAGACACAGGTAATTACAGAGATTCCCAGAGTACTGTGCTGAACAAAAGGAGCAAGTTGGGCCCCTGCACCAGACCCACAGACGCCGAGACCCCCGGAGCCCCAGGACCCTGCACCAGACCCACAGACGCCGAGTCCTCTGGAGACCCAGGACCCTGCACCAGACCCACAGACACTGAGTCCCCTGGAGCCCCAGGACCAGCACGACCGACACACAGTGATGCACATGGCCACAGGGCTGCTGGTGGGGCTGAAGTGTGGTCTCATAACTATTTCTGTGCTGGCTGGAATGGAAGTTACGTCTGTCAAACCTAGGACTACACACTAAAGCGAGTGCATTCACTTAATAAAAAGCACGTACGCTTCAGGCCAGGCGCAGTGGCTCAGAGGCCTGTAATCCCAGCACTTTGGGAGGCTGAGGTGGTCGGATCACCTGAGGTCGGGAGTTCAAGACCAGCCTGGCCAACATGGTGAAGCCCCATCTCTACTAAAAATACAAAAACTAGGTGGGTGTGGTGGCGGGTGCCTGTAATTCCAGCTACTTGGGAGGCTGAGGCAGGAGAAACACTTGAACCCGGAAGGTGGAGGATGCAGTGAGCCAAGATCATGCCACTGCACTCCAGCCTGGGAGAGCGAGACTCTGTCTCAAAAAAAAAAAAAAAAAAAGAAAAGAAAAAAAAAAAGAAAAAGTATGCATGCTTCAATACAGTTAATTTCTAAAAGATCACAGATTAGAACGCACTGAGTAAAGCAGGAGTCCATGCGTCTACAGTGACTTAAATCCCCACGAGGGAAAGGGAATGCTCTTCTGAGAGCCAAATGTGCACGCGCACCAGCGCCGGGGGTGTCTGACAAGGTGCAGTCCACGGCTCTCCCCAGGAGCGGCCCGTTAATTTTAAGGGAGAATTAGTCACTTCACAGTGGACCTCTGAGAACCAAGTCATCAAAGTTAACCAGCACTGGGACAAAATTACCAAAACTCACAGAGAAAAGGACTGAAAACCTGAACAGGGCAGAAGCAAGACAAGATGCGAAATCACTGATCTCAACTCGGCCCCCACAGAAAAGCCCAGGCCCAGATGGCTTCAGGGCGTATTCTGACAAATGTTTACAGCAAAAATAACAAGACTGCTTCCATAAACTTCAGGATGCAATCCTTCCAGAAAGCAGAGGGGAACAATGCGGGAAGGCCGGCATCACCCTGACACAATGCCAGAGGCAGCGTGGTCGCAGATCGGCACATCAGACCCACACCTCCCGGGCCCGGCGCGGCTTCTGTGTAGTGTTTTCAGCAGAGAAGATTAACTTGCAGAAAGAAGAAATGGAAATGCCCACAGCCTTGAGGGAAGCAGTGAGTGGACCTCGGGCGTGGGTCCCAGCCTGTGGCTGGCGGGAGAGTCCATCCCTTCAGGCTTACTTGTCTTCCTCTTCCGTCGGGCGGGAGTGCGCGGCGTCAGGGGGCGCTGATACACGGCAGTGCTCAGGCCAGTCGCCACAGCCTCGATGGCTTCATCCAGCAGGGAAGACCCGAGGCGCCCTGGTGTGTGCTACAGGCAAAGGGGTGGTGCCGTCAGATGCCCTTGGGGCCTCAGCCGGTCCAGCACAGACCCCAAATGGAGCCCAGAACACAGCCCACAATGGCAGCCAGAGAAGCAGGACAGCCTCCCCACCCGCCACTGCAGCAGCCACGGCCCGGCCTTCCTCTCCCCTGCCAGAGGCTGCCAAGCACTCCCACGGGGGCAAGGCGGGTGGGGGACAGACAGCATCCCAGGGGCACACGAGAGGGCACCAGTCACTGTGGCGGGGGTGGCGCAGGTACTGGGCAGGGCACTGGACAGGGACAGCCCCCTCCCCACCCAGCCTTCTCAGTCCACTCCAAATTCAGCGTTAGGCTTGCCAAGGGCACACACCACATGCCCACAGCCCAGACCCTCCTGCTTGTCCAATGCCCAGGGAAAGGCTGCTGTCAGGACGGAGGCTGCAGGGAGCACCTGAAACCGAGCACCAGGTCCAGTGCAAGAGGAAGGTGCTCACAGGTGCCTAGAGGGAGCGGTGCTGGCATGGGGCCTGGGGAACAAGGGGGGTTTCCTAGAGCCCCCACCCCGCCAGGGCCAGGCTTCACCTGCCCCTCAATACCTGGCTCCAGGTGCTCAGAGGCAGCCCCACCTTGGGCCGCTGGGGTCACCCTGGGGTGCACTCATCTGCTCCCCTCAGCAGGCCGAACAACATGAGCCACCGGGGCCGGGCGGACCCCACAGTGCCGACGACGCCCCTCCCACCCACCCAGACTGCCGAGATCACTCTGGGCAGCTGGGGTTCTACGACTGGCGTCAGGGCTGGGCCACCCACCTGGACCCTCCTGGCCGTGGAGATCCGGTTCCGGTTCACGGTTGCTCTCACTCTCTCACTCTGCCGTGTCCTGGCTATCGCCCGGGTCCTACCTGCTCGAGGCCGAAGCCTGCTGGTGGTGGGCACCACATCAGCCAAGAGCAGGGAGACCTCCTCCTCACTCACGGGACCCGCATCTGGGAAGAACCACCAGGGCTGATGTGCCACACTCACAGGCCACACGCCTCCCCCAACGGCTCCCCCTGTGGCTGCTGGCCAAGTAGCAGCCCTGGCTCGGGCTGACCTGTGCACAGGACCCAGGGCTGCTCATGGAGCCTGGTGCTCCTAACACTGAGGACCGGAACCCCCCAGCCAATGGACCCCACACACATCCCCGAGAAGACGAGCCCGAGACAGCCCTAGATGTCCTCCCGACACCGCAGCCAACCCTAACCCCCATGAGACAGCCCTAGATGTCCTCCCCACACAGCAGCCAAACCTAACCCCGGGGACCGCAGAGTGGACAGTGAGAAGGCCCATGTGCGCCTTGGGACGGGAGCAGTGTCCTTACCAGCGGCAAGGACAACACCAGGCGCAGCACATTCCGGGCAGAACCACTCGTCCACCGGCACCTCCTGGAGAGGGGGGTCCAAGCATTCCATGTGGTACCTACAGGAGAGAGCAGGGCCAAAGCATCCGGGTGCTGCTCACAGCTTTCCCAAACCTCCTCAAGTGAGGGGACCACAAAGCAGGCCTCCGATGGCACCCAAGTCTGCGATGCATTCTGTTATGGGCTGACCCACATCCCTCCAAAATTCATAAGAAGCCCTAACCCCCAATGTGACAGCAGATAGACATGGAACCTTTAAGGTTATAGGATTGGTGTCCTTAGATGAGGGAAGGCCAGGTGAGGTCACAGCGGGGAGGCGGCCGTCTGTAAGTCAGGAAGGGGGCCTCCCCAGGAACCAGGCCTGCTGGTATCTCAGATGTCTAGTTTCCAAAACCAAGAAAAGGAAGACCTGCGGTTTACGCTGCCCAGCCTGTGGTATCCTGACAGCAACTGAGCTGGCTGCGACACACGACACACACCCACAGGCCGACAGTGGCTCACACTGAGCTCCTGCGGTAGGTGCTGCCTGTGGGGCCCCCTTCCCAGAGAGCTTGTCTCCCCCACCCTCACTCCCGGGTTTTCAAACATTGCACCTCACACCAAGCCACTGAAGAAGGCGAAGGTTTCTTTGCTGAAAGGAAACTATGTTTTAATTGTTTCTATCGAGCCTTCTGGGAAGGTAGTTTGGGAAGTGCTGCCACTGGTATGAGGTATATGTGCCCCTCCAAGCAGCCGAGGCTCGGGAGTCTATGCAAAGATCCTTGAAACTTCATCCCAAAGACCCCAGACAGCCCTGAGTAAGGCAAAAACAATCAAGGGAAGGGAGTCAAGCTGATGATTTCCCTGAAAATTGAGCCTGAATTCAACTGAACTTAACTACCACTTACCACGGGCTGAACTGTTCTAGGATCTAAGATACGAGTTAAACAAGAGTAAACCCATTCTCCCAAGAGTCCTGCACCTATGAGAAGGTGTCTGCTGTGTGGCCCTTGCTAGGGCCATACAAGAAAGACAGGAGACAGGCATGCAGGAAGAGAAGCCGACTGCCCCGGGCACACGACACGCCCTGCCAGGCCAGCAGAGGGGGGCGGCGGGTGGGGGCACTCCAAGAGCCTAACTAGGTCCCCTAACATCTGTTCTTATACAAGTTCTCTGGGGACAAAGGCAAGGATGAGCAGTACCTTCTTTCAAAGAATTCCAAAGTCTGAAAACGTCCAACCCACTTTCCCACCACTGAGCTCCAGCAGCCTTGGAGGAGGCTGCGGCTCACCTGAGGCCCGAGCAGAAGGCCCCTCTGCGCCTGGCAGGCGCCCATCCACAGCCAGGCCAGGCCTGTGTCCCCCACACTCATCCCCGAGAAGAGGAGATTGGCTGCAAGTTTAAATACGAGCACGGGGACAAGGAGGGCTGCCGAGACCTGCCCAGCTACGGTGCAGGCACCCATGGCTCCACCTGCACAGGGAGCTTGGTGGCCCTGCAGCTGAAGGTGCTCAGATCTGACCTGCCCAGGGAGGGGAGGGCCACACCTAACAGGCCTCAGTGAGCCCCTGCACTGCCTCCCTGGTGAACACACACTTTTAAATTAGATTGTAACTTAAAAAAGAAAAAAATCAGAAACTGTATCTTATTTCATGTAATGTCAGTGTATCTACAGATAGTGTTTTTTTGTTTTTTGTTTTTAGTCTCTCTGGAGTGCAGTGGCGCAATCTCGGCTCACTGCAACCTCCGCCTCCCAGGTTCAAGGTATTCGCGTGCCTCAGCCTCCCAAGGATCGGGGGTTACAGGTGTGAACCACCACGCCCGGCCAATTTTTATATTTTTAGTAGAGACGGGGTTTCGCCATGTTGGCCAGGCTGGTCTCGAACTCCTGAGCTCAGGTGATCCACCCGCCTCGGCCTACTGTGATTCCATTTTGACATGAGGAACTGAGTAATTTTAGACGTGTGATTTTTAAGTCAGACTTAACTGAAAATTTGGCAGACTGCAAATTGTAACAGTATGGAAATGTTTAGAAGTATGAGAATCGTTATATTGATCAGTTTTAATGTTTTAGATCCACCAGGGTTTTTATGTACTTGCGTTGTTTTATCTGCCAAGTAATTCAAGTAGTGTAGGTAGAAAGAAAATCAATATATCAAGTTTGTAAATGTAATTTATAATAAAAAATTTTAATTAAGCTGTAAACATTCCCAAGAGCCTTGTTAGAAGGTACTACAACTAGGTTGGGCATAGTGGCTCACGCCTTTAATCTCAGCACTTTGGGAGGCCGAGGTGGGCGGATCAATTGAGCCCAGGAGTTCCACACCAGTCTGGCCAACATGGTGAAACCCCGTTTCTCCATAAAATACAAAAATTAGCCAGGTGTGGTGGCATGTGCCTGTAATCCCAGCTACTGAGGAGGCTGAGGCAGGACAGTCACTTGAACCTTGAACCGAGGTTGCAGTGACTCGCTGCAGAGGTTGCAGTGACTCGCTGCAGAGGTTGCAGTGAGCCAAGATGGCGCCACTGCACTCCAGCCTGGATGACGGACCAAGACTCTGCCTTGAAAAAAATAAGTAAATGAGTAAAATAAAAGCTAACAGGAAAACCAGGCTTTGTGCGTGAAAACTGGCCTACCAGCTGCCCTCGAGCCACTAGAAGGCTCACGGCCCTGGCCTGCGATGAGGGCCTTGCCCAAGACGGTGCCTGTGGCGACCAGGACCAGGTCTATCATGCCATGGTCTCTCAGGCCGTGTCCAGCGATTCCAGGCCAGCCCAGGCCCTTCCTTCACATGCCCAGAGTGGCCGCAGCCACAGGTAAAGAGGACAAAAGAGGACCAGTCCTACACATGGGCATGGAGTGCTGAGCCACCCCTCCACCTTTTTTTTTCTTTTTAAGCATTCTGCATATATTCACGGTGTAAGTCAGTAATCAACAGCCAATAAGCACTGTGCCCAGGGCTGCAATGACCAGGCTGCTGGGATAGTCAAGGCAGCAGCCCTGCCCTTCAGACTCACAGCAACCAACTCAGTGCCTGCCGGGGCAACTGGCAGCAGACGCTCCCAGGAACCCTGAGGAGGTGAGGACCGTCAGGGCAGAGCACTCAGGAAACTCACAAAACATGGATTTAGGCTCAGACTCGTGAGAAAGGAGGGACGGCGAGGTGTCTGCGAATGTGAGCAGAGGCGTGGCTATCTCCCGGCTGCTGGGAGCAGAGGGCAGGACCAAGCAGGGGCTGGGGACCTGGAAGGGCCGGCGGAGCGCACTGCAAGGCCCCTGTACTCCCACAGGCCATGAGGAGGAGGGCGAACTGACGATGAGACAAACGTGGTGGCCGCCTGCAGGACCCCCAAGGAGGCCCCTGCAGTGTCTGCAAAAGGACAGCCAGCGATTCCTGCACCAACAACAGCGTGAGTGGAGCAGAGGCCTGGGTATGTGGCTAACAACGAGGTGACAGGTGGGGGCACAAGCGGCTGTGCTCAAGGACGAGTCAAAGCTGGGACGACCGGGACCACCCGCCACAGAGCAAAGGCCTTCACCAGGAGCCCATCCTCGGTGCGGCTCCAGCCGCGGCACGTCAAGGCCTCCTGGCTCCGGCTGTTCCGTAGTCCAAACCCTGACCCAGCTACTTCCCACCCAAGAGAAGGCCCCAGATCGAGCAGCCTCACTGGTTCTTTCAACAAGGGAAAGATTTCCAGAATCCTCTCTCCATAATTTCACAGCAGAAAAATTATTCAAATCAACAGGGAAAGCCCCTCGCAGGAGGCTAACGGGGAAGGGGGCATCTGCTTACAGCCAACGACACAAAGCAGGGATGAGGAGACAAGTGTCACAGGCTCCCGGGAAGCCAGGGCCACGCAGGGCCAGAGCAGGCGCTCTCAGCTGTGCCAGGGAGAGCAGCAGGTGCAGCATAACTGGACATGCACCAGAGGGTGAAGGAGGAGCAGGGTGAAAGGTGAGGGACCAAGGCAGCCAGAATGATGGACGCAGGCATAGCCACCCCTCCCCCACAAAGGCCGGGACCAGGACACGTCCCACCCTCTGGCTGACCAGCCCCACAGCCTCCTGTCCGGCTGTTTTCTTTTTTGTCTTGATGTATTACCTGCACTTCTGTGGGCAGCCTCAGAATGTTTTTTGGGGAAAGACTGAAGTGTAAATGAGTGTAACAGGAAGGCCCGCAGGACTGAACCGCGCTGCTGAGGGTGGTGAGCACAGCTCCAGGTGCTGGGACTCAGACTTCACAGAGCGAAGAGGCTCTGCATCCCTCCTGCGCCTGGCCCGCCTTGCACGCAGCAGGGCACGTGTGCCAGTCCCAACCGTCCCTTACCCCGCATCGCAGCCGTCGCAGAGCAAAAGCCTGTCCTCACGGTCGCTCCTGCCGCACACCTCACAGAAGGTCGGGTCCTCCTCCTCCTCGCTCGCTTTGGTGTTCTCCACTGGGATCTAGGACAGAATCGTCGGTCACCACCACACAGGACCCAAACTCCCCGCAGTCACTTCCCAGCGTGAAACGCAGTTAATCCAGAATCCACCCATTGCCTTAGATTCATATTTGGGCTCCACAGGCCCAGAGGGTCTCCCTCCACGTGTACACAGGGATTTTTATGTTTTCTACCATCTCAGGGTGGTGATCTAAGAGGAAAGTATTCAACAGAAAACAAAGTATGATGCACGGAAAGGAGCGGGTAAGCCCTGCGGCCCCAAAGTGGGCCGCAGTAGGGCGAGGCAGCAGGTGCTGGACTGCCACGGAAGAGCAAGATCTGCCTCTTAAAAAAAAAAAAAAAAAAGGCTGGGCACGTTGGCTCACGCCTGTAATCCCAGCACTTTGGGAGGCCGAGGTGGGTGGATCACGAGGTCAGGAGATCGAGACCATCCTGGCTAACACAGTGAAACCCCGTCTCTACTAAAAATACAAAAAATTAGCCGGGCGTGGTGGCGGGTGCCTGTAGTCCCAGCTACTCGGGAGGCTGAGGCAGGACAATGGCGTGAACCCAGGAGGCAGAGCTTGCAGTGAGCCGAGATTGTGCCACTGCACTCCAGCCTGGGCAAAAGAGCGAGACTCTTGTCTCGGGAAAAAAAAAAAAAAAAACAGCCGGGTGTGGTAGCTCATGCCTGTGGACCCAGCTACTCAGGAGGCTGAGGCATGAGGATTGCTTGAGCCCAGGAGATTGAGGCTGTAGTAAGCTGTGATTGTGCTACTGCACTCCAGCCTGGGTGAAAGAGCAAGATGGTGTCTCAAAAATAAAGAGCTCCGAGCAGACGGGCCAGAGCACTGCTCCCAGATGTGATGGGTACAGGGGTGGGGTCGAAGGGATATCCCAGGAGCTGGCAATATCTCTGCCTCTAACCCCCAACCCAGACCCCAAACCCCCCAGACAGGGCTCATGGCCACAAGGGGCACTTGAGTTGATTTCTATGAAGCATTTAACCAACCCTCATTTCAGGAGAGCAAGCCCACTTTGGAAAGCATGCTCTGTCCCACAGGGCCGGGATAGAAGCACGGCTGGGGCCTCCACGGCAGCGTCCACACTCACCTTTCTTAAGATTTTACCACCAAATTGAGCTCGAATACAAATGCACTTAAATAGAGTTCGATCAACTGGACAGGAATTGGCATTCTGTGAGAAATAAAAACAGGATCAGAATCTTGTCAATCACTTTCACTTAGAGATCAAAAATTCTTTTACACTGAAAATCAAGTATCTGCTAAATGCCTCCATGCGCCAGGCCCTCCACTAAGCTGCTGGCAACACGGCAGTGGAGGGAGCACAGCGAGCCTTGCCTCCCTGCAGAGCTGCCAGCCCTAGCGGGGAGGAAAGAGCAGCTCCATGAACGCGTAGCATCTCAGTGACAAGTAAGAACAATAAAGGGAGGAAGGACAGGCGTGGGGGCGGCATTGTGCACAGGCCCCTCTGCGGTGAGCCTGTTCAAGTCTTCTGCTAACTTTTCCAAAAGATTGTTGGACATTCACTAGTAAATTTTTAGAATTTCTTTTCATAGGCCGGGAGCAGGGGCTCATACCTGTAATCCCAGCACTTTGGGAGGCCGAGGCAGGCAGATTACCTGAGGTCGGGAGTTCGAGACCAGCCTGACTGACACAGAGAAACCCCGCCTCTACTAAAAATACAAAATTAGCTAGGTGTGGTGGCGCATACCTGTAACCCCAGCTACTCGGGAGGCTGAGGCAGGAGAATCGTTTGAACCCGAGAGGCTGAGGTTGCGGTGAGCCGAGATGGCGCCACTGCACTCCAGCTTGGGTGACAAGAGCCAAACTCCATCTCAAAAAAAAATTTACTTTCATAGTATGGATAACAGTCAGGTATACGTTGCAAATTTATTTTTGCCTTTATTAATAGTGTTCTGACCCACATAAGATCTTTATGTTGGCTTTATTAACGTACACCATACACAAGAAAACACTGATTTTAACTGAATAATTCAATCGGCTCTGACAAATATACAACCTGTGGAGTACCCACCCTGGTCTTCGGGCCCTTCCCTCTCCCACCTGACTGTTTCTTCCTGTTGTCTCAGGGGTGTGGTTAGGTACGTCTTCCCTGGGGTTTCTCAGGATTGGAGCCGCAGCATGGACTCTGCTCATGGCATTCTGCCCTCCCTAGCACTGAAGAGACACTGCCACACAAATGGTCCACGTGTCCATTCCCCCGTGGTGAACATCGATGGACGTGTCTTCGTGTGGGCGCACTCCTGTTTCTCTTGGGTAAACACCCAGGAATACATGGCCTTTGAGGTTGTACGTGTGACACCCCCACCTCTGGAGTCTGGGGTGCCCTCCTACCGACCAGCTCCAGGGGTGTGCGGCAGCACCCCCCATGGTGGGACTGGGGTTCCCAGAGGAGCCCTGCTGCTGAACCCTGCACGCTCCGTGCCCGTTTGCACACATTCTCAGGCTGAGCCCCGCACGCTCCATGCCCGTTTGCAGACATTCTCAGGCTGAGCCCCGCACGCTCCATGCCCGTTTGCAGACACTCTCTGAGGCTGAGCCCCACACGCTCCGTGCCCGTTTGCAGACTCTCAGGCTGAGCCCCGCACGCTCCGTGCCCGTTTGCAGACACCCTCTCAGGCTGAACCCTGCACGCTCCATGCCCGTTTGCAGACATTCTCAGGCTGAGCCCCGCACGCTCCATGCCCGTTTGCAGACACTCTCTGAGGCTGAGCCCCACACGCTCCGTGCCCGTTTGCAGACTCTCAGGCTGAGCCCCGCACGCTCCGTGCCCGTTTGCAGACACCCTCTCAGGCTGAACCCTGCACGCTCCATGCCCGTTTGCAGACATTCTCAGGCTGAGCCCCGCACGCTCCGTGCCCGTTTGCAGACTCTCTCTCAGGCTGAGCCCCGCACGCTCTGTGCCCGTTTGCAGACACCCTCTCAGGCTGAGCCTGACATGCTCCGTGCCCGTTTGCAGACACTCTCTCAGACTGTTTAGGAAATCCTTCTCTTTTCTTATCACAGAGCTACCCATGCTTTCTTTTCAAAGGTTCAGCTTTGCTTTCTAGTCCGAGATCTTGACTCCGTCCGGCATCGTGTGTGTGCTGTGAGCAGCCCCCAGCTGACCTGCCCCACAGGCGCCTCCTGTCTCCCCCCGAGTGTGTCCGGGCCTCTTCTAAGCCCCTGCAAAACCCCTGGGACTGGTTTCCATTCCTGGACCGGTTCCAGTTCAATCCCTGTAGTTTTATAAATCATAATATCCAGTAGGCAATTTCTCCCCTTTTCAAAGCTATCTTGGCAATTCTTGGTGCCTTCCTGTCCTCCTGTGTTGACTTCACAACACATCAAGCACCCTGAACTCCTGCTGGGAAGGACGGAATCAGCATCCTCAACCTCTCTATGGAGCAAGATGTCTCGAAAGGGAAGGGGCCTTGCTTCAGTCACGGCTGTGTTAGAAAAGCTCTTTAAATGTCTTACACGTCTCCTTATGACT
Source organism: Homo sapiens (assembly GCF_000001405.40). Classification (NCBI taxonomy): domain Eukaryota; kingdom Metazoa; phylum Chordata; class Mammalia; order Primates; family Hominidae; genus Homo; species Homo sapiens. The sequence continues at coordinate 118,957 of NT_187586.1, read as the reverse complement.
TATTTCTAAACACAATTTTAATCTTTATTAACCTCGTATCCAATAATCTCGCTAAGCAGCATTTTAACAGTTCATCTGTAAGAGTTCTCCTTTTTTTTTTTTTGAGACAGTGTCTTGCTCTGTCGCCGGGCTGGAGTGCAGTGGTGCAATCTCAGCTCACTGCAACCTCCAACTCCCAGGTTCAAGTGATTCTCCTGCCTCAGCCTCCCGAGTAGCTGGGACTACAGGTACGTGGTACCACGCCCGGATAATTTTTGTATTTTTAGTAAACACAGGGTTTCACCATGTTGGCCAGGATGGTCTTGATCTCTTGACCTCATGATCCACCCACCTTGGCCTCCCGAAGTGCTGAGATTACAGGCGTGAGCCACTGCACCCGGTTCCATTTGTAAGATTTCTATACTGACAAACTTGTTTGCAAATGCCCTCTTCTGCCCAATATTTATCTAATAAATGCCAGACAGAAAATACATAGCAAACACTGTATCTTGTTCCTCAATTTAAATGAAAGCTTCACTTGCCAAAAGAAAAATCTACAAAAAAAAATAAAAATAAAAATGGCCGGGCGTGGTGGCTCACGCCTATAATCCCAGCAGTTTGGGAGGCCGAGACGGGTGGATCACCTGAGGTTGGGAGTTCAAGACCAGCCTGACCAACATGGTGAAACCCTGTCTCTACTAAAAATACAAAATTGCCCTGGCGTGGTGGTGGGCACCTACAGTTCCAGCTACGCGGGAGGCTGAGGCAGGAGAATCGCTTGAACCCGGAAGGTGGAGGTTGTGGTGAGCCAAGATCGCGCCATTGCACTCCAGCCTGGGCAACAAGAACAAAACTCCGTCTCAAAAAAACAAAAAAAAAAAGAAAAGTCTAAGTCTGAATCTACTGTGTGCTGTGGACCCACCACAACAGAACAGGAACAGGAAGTACCAGAGCCAGACTTTGGGTGACATCACAGCCTGCCACCACCAGCAGCATGAGGAATGTCTGGGTCCTGCTTCAAACTAAGCATACAGGCAGTTTTCAGCTACTCAGTGAAACAGAACAGGAGGACCCAGTCACTAGGAACCCTGGGTGAGGTCACGGTCCTGAAGAGAGCCGGGGACAGCACGGGCTGCTGGTGCAATCGCAGGGAGGGGAGGGAGTCAAGAGGTAGTGGTGTCGGAGCTGAGCCCTGAGTACAGAGGTCGGGGACTCATGAGTCATCCTCAGACTGCAAGCTCTCCTTTTCTGACATTTTTCACAATATTCAGAAAGGGAGGGGGGAGCTGACTGCTTCTAAAAGTTCATTTTGAAATATAAAATACACTGCACGTTTACGGTAAACTCTATTCACCTGTTTTAAGGACAGTCTCTTTTGATGCCAGTTATTGTGAATGAATGCCAAATCGTACCGGTGTTTTCTGTATCAACTGAGAGAACCACATGTCAAGGCAGCAAAGTGACCACGCACCACAGCACACCTGCCTCTGGCTTGCAGGCCAAGATGGCCCCTATGTCAACCAGGGTTTCTGCAGCTGGTCCTGGGAGACCCACGGCCATCCTCTCTCCTGCCCCTGACCAATACACCACAAACGCCTCACATGAGCTCACCCACACCCCCAAGAGCCATGGTGCTCACAAAGCAAAGACCAAGCCAGACTCAATCCTGTGGCCCCAGGGTCAGCCGCAGAGCAGACAACTAGAACCTCACAAGAGGCTGAACACAGGCTGGGTCACCTATAAACAGGGAGGCCATCCTGAAGGGAGGAAGCACCCAACCAGAGGTGAACTCACCTTGGACCATTCGACAATGCAGTCCAGGCAGAAGTAATGGGCACAGTTCTCCGGCGTCCCCACGGCCTGGTCTCTGAATGCGTTGAGACAGATTGGGCAGCTCTCTGCATCATCATCAGAATTGAAAGAGCCAGCGGCTTCCAGTTTCCCCTGAGTACCCGCTACCTCCAGCAATGTCTCCCCGTCGTCTTCAGAATCCTCGGAACCTGGAGAGGAAACATGCCAGCTGGTGCAAGCAGGATGGGCAGCGTGAACCGCGGCACTGGAGGCAAGCGGGCCCAGGCTGCGCTCAGGACACCAGGTCGGCAATGCACAGCCCACCTCCCCGCAGGCTCCTGCCACTTACCTCCACGTCCACGCTCAGCACATCCACAACCCTGGGAGCCCTGCCCTGCACCTAACCTGAAGCCTCGGGTGCCCTGCACCGAGGGGCGGGAAGCTGAGCGTCCTGAGTGCCAGACCAGCTCCTCTAAGCTGAGCCTGGGGCTGAGGCAGACCTCGAGAGGCAGGGCAGCCCTGGGGCCTAGCACAGGTCCCAGAGACCATCAGGTTCATTTCAGAGCCTCCAAGCGAGCCCCTCAGTGCAGCAGCCCCCTGACAGCAGCCCCCATTTCCAACGCCCCCTTCTCAAAGCATGAGGACCACAAACCCTCTGCCCGCGGAAGGGACTTCCTTCTGAGGTTGCCTGTTCCTCCTCCCTGTGGGAGGCAGAGCACAGACTCCTAACTGGGCCACTAACCACAACCGTTCTGGCCAATTCGGAGTGGTTCTGAGGCTACACCTTGACCAGCAGGGAGCAGGGAGATGCTCCGAGTTCAACACGGCAGAGCCCATACGTGCACTGCTATCTTCTTTGTACCAAACTCCAATGAAACAACGCTAAAGTAAACAGAACACAAGTTCACATGGGAAGAGGAGCAGACTCGGTGTGGGTGGCAGGTTCCTCCTAGGCCCGAAACCCTCCAAACCCTCCCGGTTCCACGCATGTGGGCAGGACCCTGCCAGCACTGGGGCATCACTGCCAGGACCCTCTGTTATCTGGCAAAGGGAAAGACACACCCAGAACAGAAATATTTACACTGTTAAAGAGGCTGGGAGAAGTGAGAGCTGCGAGGGAGGCAGCAGAAGAGTTTTAAGTTCCCATCTTTCATGTTAAGAGTTGAAGAGCTACTGGCCGGGCGTGGTGGCTCACGCCTGTAATCCCGGCATCTTTGGGAGGCTGAGGTGGGCAGATCACGAGGTCAGGAGATAGAGACCATCCTGGCTAACAGTGAAACCCCGTCTCTACTAAAAGTACAAAAAATTGCCAGGCGTGGTGGCTCAAGCCTGTAATCCTAGTACTTTGGGAGGCTGAGGCAGGTGGATCACCTGAGGTCAGGGGTTTGAGACCAGCCTGGCCAACATGGTGAAACCCCGTCTCTACAAAAAATACAAAAATAGCCGGGTGTGGTGGCGTGTGCCTGTAATCCCAGCTACTTGGGAGGCTGAGACAGGAGAATCGCTTGAACCTGGGAAGCAGAGGTTGCAGTGAGCCTAGACTGCACGATTGCACTCCAGCCTGGGCAACAGAGCAAGACTCCGTCTCAAAAATAAATAAATAAATAAATATACAAAAAATTAGCTGGACGCGGTGGCAGGTGCCTATAGTCCCAGCTACTTGGGAGGCTGAGGCAGGAGAATGGCGTGAACCTGGGACGCAGAGCTTGCAGTGAACTGAGATCGTGCTGCTGCACTCCAGCCTGGGCAACAGAGCGAGACTCGACCTCAAAAAAAAAAAAAAAAAAGAGTTGAAGAGCTACTACCTCATGCTGGAAAGGGCTACTACCTCAAGCTGGAAAGGGCTACTACCTCAAGCTGGAAAGGGCTACTACCTCAAGCTGGAAAGGGCTACTACCTCAAGCTGGAAACAGCTACTACCTCAAGCTGGAAAGAGCTACTACCTCATGCTGGAAAGGGCTACTACCTCAAGCTGGAAAGGGCTACTACCTCAAGCTGGAAAGAGCTACTACCTCAAGCTGGAAAGGGCTACTACCTCAAGCTGGAAAGAGCTACTACCTCATGCTGGAAAGGGCTACTACCTCAAGCTGGAAAGGGCTACTACCTCAAGCTGGAAAGGGCTACTACCTCATGCTGGAAAGGGCTACTACCTCAAGCTGGAAAGGGCTACTACCTCAAGCTGGAAAGGGCTACTACCTCAAGCTGGAAAGAGCTACTACCTCAAGCTGGAAAGGGCTACTACCTCAAGCTGGAAAGGGCTACTACCTCAAGCTGGAAAGGGCTACTACCTCAAGCTGGAAAGGGCAGTGTAACAAGTGATTTCCAGCAGGAAACACCAGGGTGGGAAAAGCAATGAGAACGAAAGCTCCCAAGCCCCAGCAACGTGGGTGTTGCTCGTGGAATAACTCCCTCCTCAACATGTTTCCCACCAGTTAGGGACCCACTGGCTACTTCTTCATGTTTAAAAAACAGTCCTGGCCAGGCGCGTTGGCTCATGCCTGTCATCCCAGCACTTTGGGAGGCCAAGGCGGGTGGATCACCTGAGGTCAGGAGTTCAAGACCAGCCTGGCCAACATGGTGAAACCCCATCTCGAATAACAATACAAAAATTACCCAGGCATGGTGGTGCGCGCCTGTAATCCGAGCTACTCGAGAGGCTGAGGCAGGAGAATCGCTTGAACCCGGGAGGCAGAGGCTGCAGTGAGCCGAGATTGCGCCACTACACTCCAGCCTGGGCAACAAGAGTGAAACTCGGTCTCAAAAAAAAAAAAAAAAAAAAAAAAAGGTCCTGGAGAAATAAAAAGAAGTGTTCACAGTGGCTATACCAACACCTCTCCAGTGCCTTCCCATCCCCTTCCTTCGGGGCGCTCAGCCCTCAGGGGCTCCAGGTCTCCATAAACCTGTCTCTTCACAGCTCCCCCGTCCTGGCCTGCCGCCTCTGCCCAGCCACCTCCTCCTGCCCCTCAGGTGGCAGCTTGGATTCTCCAGAAGCCTCTCCCCACCCCAGGTCCATGGAGCCTGCCCCTCCCCTGGACGCCCACAGCTCTCAGTGTCTATGACCCTGTCCCCCAGCTGCTGCTTGGCGCACTGTTTGCTGCTAGAAGGTGAGCGCAGACACGGTGGGGGCCCTGCTGAGGCTCCCGCCACCTTCACTCCAGCCCCCAACCCAGAGTCTCTGGCATCCAATGTGCCCTCAGGATCTCAAGGACAGAGTCACCTGGCGGCCCTGACGGCCCACACTTTCAGCCCTGGCAACGCCAGAACTGGTGCGGAGACCTACTACAGATGAACCAGAGCCCTAACCTGATGCTGGGAGGGAGCAGGGAAGCCCCTCAGGACCTGCAGACCCAAGCAGACCCGCAGAGCACGTGCAGAGCTAAACATCGAACTCTGGAAGGACATGGCCAACACACATTGGCTCAGGCCATGAGTGCCATTCCCTTACCAACAGTCTCAAACAGGAGTGTTACCTTTCTGGAACATTCTAACCCTGATAACCACAGGGCTATGCAGAAAGACTGCTACACACAGATCACAGTAGCCACTTGAGGACCATGGATTTTCCAGCCCAAGGGTGATGTCAGAAGGAAAGTAGTGGAAAGGCAAAGTTCTGAGCCTGAGCTCGGCCTCCCTCTGAGGAAGCAACCACAGCAGGGCCGGGGCAGGGCCACCTCCTTGGTGGCCTCACAGGCTGTGCACCACCGAGGGTGATGGCAACAGGGGACAAGGAAGGAGGTACCACCAGCGCACCCCACGGACTTGTCTCCCCTTTGTTTTGTTTGAGATAACGTCTCGCTCCAACACCCAGGCTGGAATGCAGCCTCAACTTCCTGGGCTCAAGGGTCCTCCCACCTCAGCCTCCTGCGTAGCTGAGACCATGGGCCTGGGCCACCACACCCAGCGCAGACCTGCCCTTTGGAACATTGTTCTCTCAAAAGAAGTTCAAGGGCACAACCATCAGCCAATTGTAAGTGAGCTGAGAATTTTTTATCTTTTTGAGACAGAGTCTCGCTCTGTGGCCCAGGCTGGAGTGTGGTGGCGTGATCTCAGCTCGCTGTAGCCTCGACCTCTTGGGCTCAAGCGATCCTCCAACCTCAGCCTCCTGAGTAGTGGGGATTACAGGCACGCACCACCACGCCCGGCTAATTTTGGTGGGGTTTTTTTGTTTGTTTTTTTTGAGACAGAGTCTCGCTCTGTTGCCCAGGCTGGAGTGCAGTGGCGATCTTGGCTCACTGCAACCTCCGACTCCCGGGTTCCAGCAATTCTCCTGCCTCAGCCTCCCAAGTAGCTGGGATTACAGGCGCGTGCCAACACGACTGGCTAATTTTTCTATTTTTAGTAGAGACGGGGTTTCACCATGTTAGCCACAATGGTCTCGATCTCCTGACCTCCTGATCCGCCCGCCTCGGCCTCCCAAAGTGCTGGGATTACAGGCGTGAGCCACCGCGCCCAGACAGCCAGAATTTCTTTTTCTTCCTTTGAGATGGAGTCTCGCTCTGTCGCTCAGGCTGGAGTACAATGGCACAATCTCGGCTCACTGCAACCTCCACCTCCTAGGTTCACACCATTCTCCTGCCTCAGCCTTCCGAGTAGCTGGGATTACAGGCGTCTACCACCACACCCGGCTAATTTTTTGTATTTGTAGTAGAGAGGGGGTTTCACTATGCTGGCCAGGCTCGTCTTGAAAAAAGGCCGGGCGCGGTGGCTCACGCCTGTAATCCCAGCACTTTGGGAGGCTGAGGTGGGCGGATCACGAGGTCAGGAGATCGAGACCATCCTGGCTAACGCGGTGAAACCCCATCTCTACTAAAAATACAAAAAATTAGCCAGGCTTGGTGGCGGGCGCCTGTAGTCCCAGCTACTCGGGAGGCTGAGGCAGGAGAATGGTGTGAACCCAGGAGGCAGAGCTTGCAGTGAGCCGAGATCGCGCCACTGCACTCAGCCTGGGCGACAGAGCGAGACTCCGTCTCAAAAAAGAAAAAAAAGGAGGACTACAGGCCAGGCACAGCGGCTCACTTGAGGTCAGGAAGAGTTCCAGACCAGATGGTGAAACCCCGTCTCTACTAAAGATACAAAAAGTAATTAGCCAAGTGTCATGGTGCGTGCCTGTAATCCCAGCTACTCACGAGGCTGAGCCAGGAGAATCACTTGAACCCGGGAGGCAGAAGTTGCAGTGAGCTGAGATGGCACCACTGTACTCCAGCCTGGGCAACAGAGCGACACCCTGTCTCAAAAAAAAAAAAAAAAAGAAATGAAGTACTACAAATAAAGTGAGCCGTCACCACAGCTGAATATAAGGCCTCACCGTAGGTGACCGCAGGGACATGGCCAGCTGTGGTGACAGCACTCTCACGGAGGATGTGTTATAAAAGGCTGTCCCCATCACGACAAGAGGAAACACAGGAGCCGGCGTGAACACCAGCTGTCTCACCAGATCTGTCTTCCAGGTCTTCCTCCTCAGACGCCCCCTCGTCTTCTCCGTCTGTGCCATCTCCATGCTCGCTGTCACTGTCGTCCCCAGAGTCCCCACTGCTGCCCACGCTGCTTTCTTCTAGACACCAGGGTGAGACACAGGCCGCAGGGCGGCGTCAAGACCATGCAGCAGAGAGCAGGTTGCTTTGCACAGGCATAGAGGCGTCAGGAGCACCTGCCAAACGGCTAACGGCTTCCCCAGGGCCGGCAAGGTGGGGGCACAAGCAAGGAAAGGGAACATCCTTTCGTTCAACATTTGTGTTGTTTGCATTAAAAATAAAACAAAACAATACACTACTTCCGCAATTTAAAATCAAAGCATAATTTTTTTAGACTGAAAGTTGACAAGTGACACACACAGACGACCTCCAAAGGGAAACACCAGGCACCCTGCTCCTCCTGGGGACGCCCCTACCCGGCGCTAGGCAGCTCACCAAAGTCACCTGCCGGGTCCGCAGGGCCGACCTGTGGGTGTCCATCCGGCCCTGGGCTCCGGGCCACAAGCTCATCCAGGCTGTCGTCATCCATTGCTGCACATTGAGCTCAGCTCTGAAAGAAAGAAGAGCCAAGCAACTTCCAAACTGTCCCAGGCTGCAAAGAACCCTCTGAAGAGTTATGACCTCTCCCCACAGGCCACATCCCCGTGTCACATCCACCGCCACAGCACGTGAAGAGTGAGCCCTGAGATATCACCCACAGAACAACTCTCAGCAGTATCCCCACAGGCCACACCCCAGTGTCCCAGTGTCACATCCACCGCCACAGCACGTGAAGGGTGAGCCCTAAGATATCACCCACAGAACAACCCTCACCAGTAAGCCTTACACATGATTCACATTTACAGAGCTACCCATAAAGCCAGATCCTAGCTGGCCACTGTACCCGGCCAGAAAATAAAAATTTGTTTTTAACTAAAAAAAAAAAAAAAATTGGTCACGCCTGTAATCCCAGCACTTTGGGAGGCTGAGGCGGGCGGATCACCTGAGGTCGGGAGTTTGAGACCAGCCTGACCAACATGGAGAAACCCCATCTCTACTAAAAATATAAAATTAGGCCAGGCATAGCTGCTCACGCCTGTAACCCCAGCACTTTGAGAGGCCGAGGCAGGCGGATCACCTGAGGTCGGGAGTTTGAGACCAGCCTGGCCAGCATGATGAAACCCCGTCTCTACTAAAAATACAAAAATTAGCCAGGCGTGGTGGCGGGCGCCTGTAATCCCAGCTACTCGGGAAGCTGAGGCAGGAGAATCGCTTGCACCTGAGAGGCGGAGGTTGCAGTGAGCCGAGATCGCGCCACTGCACTCCAGCCTGCGCAATAAGAGCAAAACTCCATCTCAAAAAACTGCAATGCTCCTGAGGAATCGCAACACCATATACGAACAAAACGGCCTCATCCTGAGCTGAGGCAGAGCCGGGCTTTATCAGCTGGGCACAAGAGGGGCCTCAGTGACACGTAGGGTGCTCTCCCTGCCAAGGCTGGCCACTGTTGGGATGCCTGGAGGCTCCTCTGACCGCACCCCAACCCCATCCACCAGGGTGCTGCTGAGTCCCCAGTGGTACCCAGAGCTGAGGAGGCAGAAGGCACAGAGGCCAGGCCCACCCCTCGGCTCCCAAGACCACTTGCTCAAGGCCCTGACCCGTCAGCCGGGACCCCTGCCCTTCCCACTCTGCAAGGTCACTGTGAAACCACACAGGATCCCGTACAAAGCCTTGGGAAATCTAGTTGGACACGCTCCTCCTTCCACACCAGGGCCTCAAACTTTGGTCCCAGATAAGAAAGGAGATACGTGCACGTGGTTCATTTCTCATCAGTGCTATTGACCTTGTTTCCCAGGCGACTCTCGGAGGAAAGGCCTGTCCTAGGAGAGTGAGTCAGGAATCCAGCGAGGCAGTGAAGCCGGCCCTGCAGCACTCTGTTTCCCACCAAGTCCAACCTCCATCCATGATCAGAGGAAAGCGCATCGCACAAGAGGCCAGGAAGTAGGGGGCCAGAGCTGCCCTCGAGTTCAGGGCCTCCTTGCATTGGAGCTCAGCTCCCACCACCACTGTGGGCTGCACATGTACCACAGCAACGGGGGAAAGTGGCTGTCAGCGCCACTGCTGTCTGGAAACCCCTGGACAACAAACCCTAACGGGGCTCAGAAACCAGGACGGCCTCACTTCCCATCTGACAAGACAGTGCAAAACCCTAGATTCTAAGATGATGCCTTATAAAACAGTGAAGAATGTCAACTCCATCCAACTGTCAACTGCCAAATCTTACTACTGCCTGGAAACAGCGATTGTAGAAGTAGTTTTGCCAAATTAGTAATTAACCTTTCTTCTACCTGCCACCCTAAGGTGAAAACACCTGGTCATGATCCCCGCTCAAGGCAGTCTGCACCCCTGGTGCTTGGTGGACCCAGCAACTCCGCAGAGACGCCCTGCTCGTCCCGCACCTGAATCCTAGAGACACTGGCTCTGAGAGACACACGAGGGCCACGGCCCATCCAGGAGGGTGACCCCTCTCCCACAGCATGCACTGAGACCTAGCAGTGACCACAGCTCTCAGATAAGAGGACCTTAACTCCCTGGCAATAGCTGTGACCACCCTGACAACAGACCCCACATCTTCCAGGACGCCTGCTCCAACACCTACCCTGCTCCTACTTTGTGCAGCACAAGGCGAATGCAGTCCCTGCCCTGGAGAAACATATCTGAAAGAGGGAGGCAGACTCTCTCACATGAATCTACCAAGGAACACTTCAAAGAGACCACCTAAGAGATAACAGAGCAGGGCTGGGGGTAGGAGCAGGGCTGGGGGGAGGAGCAGGGCTGGGGGAGTCCCAGGGTCCAACTGTCCCGAGTGCAAATCCTCATTTGATGATGAATTTCACATAGAAAGTAAAAAATGTGAATTGGTAGCCAGGTGCAGTGGCTCACGCCTGTCATCCTAGCACTTTGGGAGACCAAGGTGGGCAGACGGCCTGAGCTCCGTAGTTCAAGACCAGCCTAGGCAACACAGTGAAACCCCATCTCTACTAAAATAGAAAAAATGAGCCGGGCGTGGCGGCGTGCACCTGTAGTCCCAGCTACTCCGGAGGAGAATTGCTTGAACCTGGCAGGCGGAGGTTGCAGTGAGCTGAGATCGCGCCACTACATGCCACTGGGCGACAGAGTGAGACTCAGTCTCAAAAAAAAAAATGTGAATCAGCCGGGCGTGGTGGCTCATGCTTGTAATCCCAGCACTTTGGGAGGCTGAGGCAGGCAGATCACTTGAGCCTGCAAGTTATGAGACCAGCCCGGGCAACATGGCAAAACCGTTAAAAACCAGGTAGGTGTGGTGGAAACCGCCTGTAGTCCCAGCTGCTCGGGAGTCTGAGGTGCAAAGATCACTTCAGCTCAGGAGTTCGAGGCTGCAGTGAGCCGTAGTATGTGAACAAACAGCTCCTGGCCTCTCCCTTGATGCACTGAGATTGGGGACCACCTCCAAGGGTTAGGTGGGGCGACAGGCAATGGCAGGGCTTGCCCCAGGGCTGCCAGAAGAGATCAGTGAGGCCGTGTGGGGTTTGGCACATAGGAGCTGGCCAGAAATACCAGCTCAGGAATGAGGCTGAACTTTGCGAGTCCATGCACCTGTGGGGCTAAGTCCTGAGGCCTTTGAACTTTACCACAGCTGGTGAGGGAAGACTCCACGGGCCTCTTACACTCCTCCACCACAGCAGCAGGAACGTTCAGGTTACGTGAGGCTGAACAACATCCTTCCTCGATATCACACAAAAGTAACCAGGGGCTATTTTGCCAGAGAACACAAAATAACCCAGGAAGCCTCCGCAGGTACCCTCTGGCACAAGCACCAGGCACAAGACCTGTTTGGGACCACCAGGACCTGTAGTTAGGATGCTGGGTTAATGGGAGCCCCTAGCTTAGGACCTCCTGGTTGCACCAGCAGCCCCAACTCCAACAAATCTTCCCTTCCCCATACCCACCTCTGCCATGTCCCAGGCCACAGGCCAGGAAGCCATTTCTGCAGAAAAGACCACAGCCCTTCCCAGCTGCTGGCCACCTTTGGCTGGGCTAGCAGAGCTCTGGGGTGGAGGAACCACTGTGACTCTCCTGCTTAGCCTCCAGATTTGGGGGATTAAAGAGGAAAACAAAAAACTGGAAAGGCTATTTCTCTCTCTTTTCAAATTCAGGGGAACCAATGCATTGGCAGTCCCAACTGTTACTAAGGAATGAAAAGGGCCTCTGGTATCCGGGGTGCCTGCAACCCCGTTCCACGCCAGTCTCGGCACCTGAGTGCCCATCCCAGGCACTGAACAAGCCTGCAGCCAAGTCCAACACCTCAACTCAGGCCGACTTTTATTCTTGTATTCACCATCTGCTGTATCAGCTAGGAGAACTCAAAATTGTCAACTGCAATGGAAGTCAAAAAGTCAGGCACGCACAAAGGTCTCCGCGGGCCTGAGATAAACACAGCCCTGCTGAGGGCCAAGGCCAGGCTTGTCATGGCCATGATGCTGAGGTGCCATCCATCCACTAGCACTCTGACTTAACATTCTTCCAATAAGAAAGAAAACCGGATGGTCCAGGAGAGAGATCAACTATGCCAAACCCGAAGTCAAACCTCAGCTCGGCCTCAGAGCCTGTCCATTGACCACTGGCCAGAACGTGGTTCACCCAGCTGACTGCTGTTCTGCTGTTGCCGAAACAAGTAAAGCACATAAACTCCGAAGAAGGGGCAACACAAGCCCCGTCAAAAGGAGCATGGTAGGAGTCGGGGCTGGCGCGGATCCCCGGCTGCCGGCGCTGGCCAGTTACTTAGCCTTTCTGGGCTCCAATCCCCTCCTCTGTAAAACGGGAACAATACCTACACCTGAGAGGCTCTTGTGAGGACTGCAAGAGTTAAGGAATAGGAAAACCGCCAGCCACACAGGCCTGTGGACATGCAGACAAGGCCAGAAGCCCACGACGGCAACCATGCACAGGGGCCGGACACAAGGCAACGAAGTCACAGCTCTCTCCCAAACGCGGCAGGGCGGACTCGCAGGGGGCATGGGCGTGGGTGCCACAGAGCGAGGCGAGTGGGCTCTCGCCGCGTCCTCGCAAGCCCAGGACGTCCGCCCGCAGGCCACGGGCCTCCCAGTCTCGGCGGGGCCTCCCAGTCTCGGCGGGGCCTCCCAGTCTCGGCGGGGCCTCCCAGTCTCGGCGGGGCCTCCCAGTCTCGGCGGGGCCTCCCAGTCTCGGCGGGGCCTCCCAGTCTCGGCGGGGCCTCCCAGTCTCGGCGGGGCCTCCCAGTCTCGGCGGGGCCTCCCAGTCTCGGCGGGGCCTCCCAGCGCGCGCGCGCCCGCCCGCCCTCCCGGCCCGCGGCCAGCGCGGCGCAGGCCTCGCCCCGCGGTGCAGGCCGCAGACAAAGCGCGTGGCGCCCACAGGCGGCCCGCGGCCCGGAGGAGCAGGGCCCCCAGGGCCGGCGCGGCCGCCGCACTTACCCGGAAACCTCGCGTCCCGCAGCCGCTCGCGAGCGCTCGCCGCCGCTGCACGACCGAGAGTCGCTCCTAGGCCCGGCCGCCGCCGCCTCTGCCGCCGCCGTGCGCTCTTCGACCCGGAAGTGCACGGCGCCTCTTCCGGGCTCCTCTGTCCTGCTCGCTGACTGGAACCACTGAGACCAGAGCGGGAAAGAAATGACTGAAGTGAGGAAGGTGCCACTCCTTGCAGCCGGGGGTCTCGAGGCGTTCAAACGGCCTCCCTTCCACCTTGGAAACACTCTTTAATGCAGGACTGCCGCCCGGGGAGACCAATATCCTGGAAGAGCTCGTACTGTTTAACCCGCGACCATGGGCTGGTCCAGGCCGTCCCCCCCGCGGCCGGGACAGCTGGTACCGCCCGGATCTCCGCCCACCGCCCAGAGCGAATGGGAGCTGCTTCCTGTACGTCAGCTCCGCCCCCACGCCCGCAGCCCCGTCCCTCCTCGGGCCCGCAGCCCCACCCCGCCCCCACGCACGTAGCCCCGCCCCCACCCCCGCAGCCCCGCCCCGCCTCGCGCCCGCAGCTCCGCCCCCACGTCTGCAGCCCCGCCCTGCCTCGGGACGGCCGCCCACGGCCCCGCCCCCTCCCTCGCAGCCCCGCCTCACGCCCGCTGCTCCGCAGCCCCGCCCCCACCCTCGCAGCCCCGCCCCCACGCCGCAACCCCGCCCGCAGCTCCTCCCTAGCCCCGCGCGCGGCGGGAGCACCTGGGGAGAAGAGTCCTGGCGTCGCCTGCTACCAGCGCCGCGCTCCTCTGAACAAACACTGCCGGAGCCCTCCGTGAGCCGGCTATTCCAGCCCAGCCCCGCGTCCGCCCGTCCCGCAGCAGGCGCGGTGAATCGTGCGCGCTGGCGGACGAGGCGGGCTCGGCAGGACGCTGCTGTGCCGTCCCGTGTGGATTTGGCTCCAGGTCGTCCTGAGGATGCCGCGCAGAAGCCGTGTGGGCCTCGGGACGCAGGCCTGCGTGGCTGCAGCGCACCAGGGGAGGCTCCGGGGATCCCGAGCTGGCGCGGACTCGCGAGACCCCCTGGCCGCTCTGCGGGGAGCGCTGGGGAGGCGTCCCGAGCGGGCGCCAGAGACCCGCGGGCTCCCCGTGCAGGGGCTGCCTGGGCTGGGGCCCGGGTGGGTCTGCGCAGGTGTGGGAAGTGCCGGCTCCCGGTAGATGCTGAAGGCGGAGTTGCCAGGATTTGCTGCGGACTTTTGGAGAAATGAGGCGGGGAAGGACGAGCTTGAGAACCGACGCCGGAGAGACGGGGAAGACGGGGGAGGCCTGAGCGCGGGCTGGCATGGCTGGGGAGGTTGTGCACTGCCCAAGAATGCTCACTGAGGAGCGTGTTCACGTCTCATCGTGGGTGTCTGTGTTTATTATGACAACTACCAGCAGCCCCCGAGGAGCAGCGACAGATGGAGGTCGGGGGCTCTAAGCTGAACACAGGCGGTCGGTCCTCCTTCCCAGGAGCCTCAGCGTGTGTGTCCGCAGGTGCCCCTTTATCTAGCGCCCTTGGGGGAATGGGACGTGTCAGAGGAGATGCAGTGGGCAGAGGCTGCACTGGATGAAGAGAACTATGTGGGAATCGCATGTGGGGTGTGACTGGGGACCAGTGCCTGAACTCTGGGACTCCAACTTGAAGAGGTTTGGAATCTGCAAAGGAGACTAGGAAGGGGCACGGGGGTGCTAGGGGTGGGGGCCGGAGGACAAACCAGGAGAGGGGCTTCTGGAAGCCAGAGAGGGCGTGCACACACAGGCGGGGGAGGGAGCCTGGGTGCAGCAGGGTGGGCCACTGCGACTCACCGAGGGCCAGCGGCGCTGGGGCCAGGGGCTGGAGTTTGGAGAGTGAGCAGAGAGCACGCAGGGGCTGTGAACACCAACTTCTCTTTCAGGTCAATTTGCTGCAAAGGGGAAGGTAAAGGTGGAGGTAACTAAGGAGCAGGGCAAGAGAGGGGTGTGGTTTTCTGTAGGGTCCAGCCCTACGGGGGCTTAGCAGGTGTCCTCCCCGTGTGCAGAGACCAGAGATTGTAATAAAGACACGAGATAAAGAGCAGCTGGGCCCCGGGGGACCACTACCATCAAGACGTGGAGACCGGTAGTGGCCCTGAGCGCCTAGGTGCGCTGATATTTATTGCATACAAGACAAGGGGGCAGGGTAAGGAGGGTGAATCTTCTAAGTGATAAAGTGAAGCAAGTCACGTGATCATAGGACAGGGGGCCCTTCCCTCTTAGGCAGCCGAAGCAAAGAGAGAAGGCAGCATATGTCAGCATTTTCTTCTCTGCACTTAGAAGAACGATCAAAGACTTTAAGACTTTCACTATTTCTTCTACCGCTATCTACTACGAACTTCAAAGAGGAGCCAGGAGTACGGGAGGAGCATGAAAGTGGATAAGGAGTGTGATCATTCAAGCACCACAGGGAGGGGGTTAGGCCTCCGGATGACTGCGGGCCAGGCCTGGAGAATATCCAGCCTCCCACAAGAAGCTGGTGGAGCAGAGTGTTCCCTGACTCCTCCAAGGAAAGGAGACTCCCTTTCACGGTCGGCTAAGTAACGGGTGCCTTCCCAGGCACTGGCGTTACCGCTTGACCAAGGAGCCCTCAAGCGGCCCTTATGTTGGCGTGACAGAGGGCTCACCTCTTGCCTTCTAGGTCACTTCTCACAACGTCCCTTCAGCACCTGACCCTATACCCGCCGGTTATTCCTAGGTTGTATTAGTAATGCCACAAAGAGTAATATTAAAAGCTAATGACTAATATTTATAATAATGATTGATAATTTTCCATGATCATCTCTGTATCTAATTCGTATTAGGACTATTCTTATTCTATTTTCTTTATTATACTGAAACAGTTTGTGCCTTCAGTCTCTTGCTTCGGCACCTAGGTAATCTTTCGCCCACAGTTTTCTGTTTGCAATGGGAGAAATAACAGGCACTTATGGGTTCTGAAAATGCCCCTGCAGGAAGGAGGAGTGGATGGTGCCGACGACTGAGGAGGACTCTGGAGCAATCTATTCTCGGTGGGCCAGAGGGGCTGGGTGTCACTGCAGTCACCCAGGCCAGCCACCTGAACTCACGCACTTCAGTCTGTTTCTCAACCTCTGTGTGCCTCTGTGTCCTTGGCTGTGAAACAGGAATGTGGGTGCTCAGGCCTACCTCTTAGGTCACTGTGAGGACGAGATAGGTACGCCTCAGGTGGGGTCCAGTGTGATCAGCCAGCGGGCTGCGGGACCGCCCTCTGCCCTGCACCAGGCACCTCCCCTACCTTTACATGTGCCACGTGCCTGCCTGCTGGACACTAGATGCAGGGGCATCCACAGACACGCCGAGGCTCCTGGGAAGGAGGACGGGATGCCTGGGGGGCTGCTGGTAATTGTCATAATAAACACATGCACCCAGGCCAGGCACGGTGGCACTTGCCCTGTTATCCCAGCACTTTGGCAGGCCACAGCGGGAGGATCACTTGAGCCCAGGAGTTCCAACCTGGGCAACATGGTGAGATTTCCTTTCTACAAAAAAATTTAAAAAATTAGCCTGACATGGTAGTGCACACCTGTAGTCCCAGCTACTCGGGAGGCTGAGGTGGGAGGATTGCTTGAGACCAGGAGGTTGAGGCTGCAGTGAACCGCGATGGCACCACTGCACTGCAGCCTGGGTGACAGAGTGAGACCATGTCTCAAAAACAATAAAGCCGGGCATGGTGGCTCACACCTGTAATCCAGCACTTTCGGCTGAGGCAGCAGGGTTACCTGAGGTCAGGAGTTGGAGACCAACCTGGCCAACACGGTGAAACCCCATCTCTACTAAAACTACAAAAGTTACCTGGGCATGGTTACGCGTGCCTGTAGTCCCAGCTACTCGGGAGGCTGAGGCAGGAGAATGGCGTGAACCTGGGAGGCAGATGCTGCAGTGAGCCAAGATCGCGCCACTGCACTCCAGCCTGGGCAACAGAGTGAGACTCTGTCTCAAAAATAAATAAATGAATAAATAAACGCCAGGTGCGGTGGCTCACGCCTGTAATCCCAGCACTTTGGGAGGCCGAGGCGGGCGGATCACGAGGTCAGGAGATCGAGACCATCTTGGCTAACTGTCTCTACTAAAAAAAAAAAATACAAAAAATTAGCCGGGCGAGGTGGCGGGCGCCTGTAGTCCCAGCTACTCGGGAGGCTGAGGCAGGAGAATGGCGTGAACCCCCAGGGGGCGGAGCCTGCAGTGCCGAGATCACGCCACTGCACTCCAACCTGGGCGACAGCGAGACTCCGTCTCAAAAAAATAAAAAATAAATAAACACAGACATCCACATGGAGACATGAAGGACGTCCTCAGTGAGCATAATCCTTGGTCAGTGCACAACCAACCCAGGTATGTCAGACAGCACTCAGGCTCAGGTGTGAGAAGTATCTCCAGGCAGCTGCCCAGAGCCAAACTAGGCCCAAACTGTGCATAGGTGGTACTTGAGAGCATGAGAGCAGGGGCACATACCAATACCTCCTGACTCCCACCCCCACCGCTACCCACACACCTGACATAAAATGACTCCTTACCTGCTCGCACGTGGATAGATGCCTCACACACCAGCAGGCAGACACCTCCTGTATACAACCCCCTCATCAGTACTGTCACCTCCCCCGTACACTGACGGGTCACCCCCCAACCCCCATCACCTGCTAGTGTCAGTGTGCACACATGTGCATCCTGCCCACACAGCCTCACACAGACCTGTACTCTGAGGCTCCGGCCAGATTCCTGGTCGACACTGCCGTGTGCTGCCCCTGCCCCTTGCAGACGCCAAGCATGGTGTGCATGCTCCTGGTGTGCACGGGAGGATGGAGCTGGGCTGGGAGCTCCCTTGCTTCTGTCCCGCCAGGCCAGCTTATCCCGGAGGGCCTAGCCCAGCCCCTTCCCACCCCTGCCCCCCACCCCACCATCAGGTCCGTGTGCACATACAGGGCTTGGTGGGCAATGAGCCCAGTCATCGCCCCCTGCTGAGACCCATCCCACTCCCAGCAGCAGGGAGCCCCAGAGCCAGGTGGATGCCTGGGGGAGGCAGGGGCAGGGGTGGCTGGAGGAGGTGGGTGGGGAGAGAACAAAGGAGTCAAAACTCTCAGAGCTGGGGGAGGGAACAGGCAGGGCTGCATTCTCTACCTAGGGAAGGCAGGTGTCTGTGTGTCCCAGGGCTGTCATATCAAACGGCCACAAACCAGAGCCCTTAGACAACAGAAAGGCATTCTCTCAGTCTGGAAGCCAGCAGTCAGAGATCCAGGCTGGCAGGGCCACCCTCCTTGTTGAGGATCTGGGGAGGTCCTTCTTCTCCCAGCTTCATCTCCAGGCGTTCCTTGGCTATGGCTTCCTATGGCCTCCCTCTGTGTCTGTGTCTCTTTTCTCTTTCTCTCCTTTTTTTTTTGAGACAGAGTTTTGCTCTGTCGCCCAGACTGGAGTGCAGTGGTGCAATCTCTGCTCACTGCAGGCTCCGCCCACCGGGTTCACGCCATTCTCCTGCCTCAGCCTCCCGAGCAGCTGGGACTACAGGCGCCCGCCACCTCGCCCGGCTAATTTTTTGTATTTTTAGTAGAGACAGGGTTTCGCTGTGTTAGCCAGGATGGTCTCGATCTCCTGACCTCATGATCCGCCTGCCTCGGCCTCCCAAAGTGCTGGGATTACAGGCGTGAGCCACCGCGCCCAGCCTTTTTTTTTTTTTTTTTTTTGTGACGGAGTCTTGCTCTGTTGCCCAGGCTGGAGTGCAATGGCGCGATCTCGGCTCACCTCAACCTCCACCTCCCAGGTTCAAGTGATTCTCCTGTCTCAGCCTCCCGAGTAGCTGGGATTACGGGCATGCATCACCACGCCCGGCTAATTTTGTATTTTTAGTAGAGACGGGGTTTCTCCATGTTGATCAGGCTGGTCTCGAACTCCTGATCTCAGGTGATCCACCCTCCTCGGCCTCCCAAAGTGCTGGGATTACAGGCATGAGCCACCGCGCCCGGCCTTCTCTCTTTTTTTGTGTTTTTTGTTTGTCTGTTTGAGACAGAGTCGTACTCTGTTGCCCATGCTGGAGTGCAGTGGCGTGATCTCAGCTCACTGCCAACCTCCCAGGTTCAAGCGATTCTCCTGCCTCAGCCTCCCAAGTAGCTGGGATTACAAGCTCACACTACCATGCCCGGCTGATTTTTTTGTATTTTTAGTAGAGATGGGGTTTCACTATGTTGGCCAGGCTGGCCTCAAACTCCTGGCCTCAGGTGATCTGCCCACCTCGGCCTCCCAGAGTGCTGGGATTACAGGCTTGAGCCACCACACCCGGCCTGTTTTCCCTGTCTTTTATAAGGACACTGATCATTGGATTTAGGGCCCACCCAGAAAGTCCAGGATGATCTCGTTTCAAGATGTTTCCCTTAATGACATCTGCAAAGATGCTTTCTCCCGATGAGGGCACATTTAGGAAGCCTGGGTATTAGGATGTGGATATATCTTCTTTTTGGCGGAGGGACCATCCCACTCACTGCAGATGCTGAGAAAAGGTGCCTGTGAAATTGGCAGGACTGGGGGCAGAAGTGGGTTCACGTCAGCAGGGCACGACAGGAACACAGAGCTGCCCTGTCCTCTTGCCCCTTCTTGTCCCCTAGTCTGACTGCCCTAGGAGCCTCTGCCCTGCCATGAAGACGTGGGCCTTCTCAGGGACCCCACTGACTCTTAGAGGCTCCTTCACGACCCACAGGATCGAGGTCTTGCTGACCCCTGACCCCCAATAGAACCGAGTGGCTCCGTGATCCTCTGGGCACCTTCCCCATCCACAGGCAGCCACAGGTGCAAGGAGCCACTCGGTTCTATCGGGGGCCAAGGGTCAAGGGGTCAGCAAGACCTCGGTCATGTCTTGCTGATCATGTCTGAGTCACCCCAGACTCTGCATCTGAATTTTTGTCCCCAGCCTTCAAGCCCCTGAGGACATGGGCTGGTTCGGAAGCTCCCTGGGGCCCCAGCACTTCGCCGCCGGGGCTGGGGCAGGGGGCAGGCTGCGGCCCAGGCCTGCGCGGATGCCGAGGCAGGGAGGTCATGGGGCCAGGGGAGGACAAAGAGCAGGGCGGTGAGTTTAGGGCCAGGGAGCTGAGGGGAGACGGCCCGGGGCCGAGGACCAGGGTGACAGTGCCAAGGGGGGCCGGCGGCCAAATCTCCTTTGGCTGCCACTTTGGAGCCCCACCCCGGAGTCCGATACTTCCACGTCTGAAGCTGGCCCTGCGAGTCCTAACGAAGGTCAAACCGTCAAGGCTCCTTTGATTTTACACGTTTTCAGCGCACAGACAGGATTCTCTCGCCTCGTCCCCTCAAAGACCGGCACAGGGCTGCGAAGACCCCTGAGCCCTTGAGGCACCCCCTCCAGGCTCCAGAGGCTTCCGCGGAGACAGAGCGCGCAGGAGGGACCCAGAGCCCCCAAGGGCGCCCCGTGGGGGTCGCCAGGCAAACCAGGCAGAGCCAGAGCCCCCTCTTCGCCAGCAGGACGGACCCGGGCGTCCTTTGGGGACCCCAAGCCGCCCGGGGGGTGGTGCGTCCGTCCCGAGGACGCCGTGTCCGGGCCCGCGCAGGCCCCACCCGGGTCACGGCCCGGGATACGTGCGCCGGGCGCCCAGCGGGTTGGCGGGGGCGGGCCCGCGGGACGCGGGTGCGGGGCACGGAGGCGGCCGGGTCGTACCACCGCGCCGCGGGAAGAGGGGCAGCTCCCGGCCGGCCCTGCCGCCCCACGCACACCCGCGGGCGGAGGACCCGTCGCCAGGCTGCGCCCCACGCCCAGCCCGGAAGCCCCGCGAGCCCGGGCCATACCACCGCGCGGCGGGAGGAGGACCACCTCGGGCCGTACCATCCGCCCGGCCGGGGGACGCGCCCTGGCCCCGCCGCGCCCTCGCAGCTGGCGCCCCGCAGGCCCCGCCCGGCAGGTGCCGCCCCTCCCCGGGCAGACGTGCAGAAAAGAACGCGCCGGCCTCGCCCGCGAAGGGCCGCGCGGCGGTGGGCGGGGCGTCGCGAACCCCCCTCGCGCCCACTGGCTGCGTTGCGGTAGGGCGGGCCCGGCTAGGCCGGCCATTGGCTGAGGGACCAGGTCATTTGCATACGGGGCTGGGCGTGGAGCCGCGGGGCCCGGGGCCGGTCGGGTCGGGCCGGGGGGCGAGAGGGTGCCAGCGGCCGCAGCTGAAGTTGGGCCGAGAGCCGGCGACGGCCCCGCGCCGGGGTCGCAGGTGACGCGCGAGGGATCCCAGGTTGGCGGGCGGGGCGCCCCTCAGAGGCCGCCCTCCCGCGGGGGCTGCGGGGGGTCGGGCTGGGCAGGCGCGGCGGGGCTCGGACGCCCAAGTTGGAGGGGACGGGGGTGGGGTCAATCTCTCCGCCCGCCCACCCGGCAGTGCCTCCAGGCGCAGGGCAGCCCCTGCCCACCGCACACTGCGCTGCCCCAGACCCACTGTGCGTGTGACAGCGGCTGATCTGTGCCTGGGCAGCGCGACCCTCCTGGCCCCGTGTCCGGGTCTGGCGGGCAGGCGAGCGGCCACACGGGGACGCGAGGGCAGCTGGATACCGTGGGGAGGGGGTGCCCTATGGACGGGGTGTGCCTGTCTGGCCAGCAGGGACGGCGGGTGGGGGTAAGCGAAATCATTCGGGGGCTTTGCTGCCCTCCGCTTGGTGGGGCTGAGGCTGGGCCAGATACCCTCTTGGAGGGAACTTTCTTTTCCTTGTGTGTCCAGGGTACCAGTGTGCGGAGTTCCTGTTGCCAAGCTGAAGGTGGCCCTGGGCAGGCACAGGTGTGGTCATATCTTCAGCCAACAGGACCATCCTCCGGAGGGCCACCTCTGGGGACTTCCTACGGGAAGAGAGTGACAGATTTGGTGCTTCTGTGTGTTTCTGCCGCTTCAGTGGGGCCGCTGCGGGAGACAGCGGGTGGATCCTCCAGCAGCCTGTCTGCTGAGCTTGCCTTCTCAAGTCTACTGTTAAAATCAGGACCGGGTCGTGTCCGAGCCTACAGGCCCTGTCTCCGCTCCCCAGGCCTGCAGGAGTTGAGGGCTGCACCTGCTCGCTGGAGAGGGAGAGGCAGATTTAGTGGACGCCTGGCATGGACTCGGACTGGCCTTTGGAAGCTCCCTGCCCTGACGGGGTTGCCTGTCACCACTGCGAAGTGAGGCTTGGCAGGACCTGCACCTGAGAAAGGCCGTGTGTGGTCTTGGGGTCCACACCTGCAGAGCTAACTTACTGCCAGACGGCGACTTACTGTGGGCCACCCTCAGTGAACCGGGGTGTCCTCAGCTGGCCCTACAGAGCACTTCTGTGCTGGGGATGAGTAGGAATTCTGGGCGAGGAGGGTCCCAGCGCCGCCCCTCGATACAGCCTGGCTCTGCCCTCTGCCCGTACTTATACCAGGTGGGATCCCTGCCCTGCATTGCCTGGGGATTGGCTGGGCTTGGGCCCGCCCTGCTGTGGAACTGGATGTTTTCAGGGAGCCCAGCCTTTCCTCATGTCAACACAGTTCACAATATAGTTTTCAAAGTACAGTTTAAAACTCAAAAGTAAACTTTTCAGCAACTCAAAGGTTTGCTGAGTGATCTGAAGCACTCTGGCCACTTTTTGGGGCCATGGGATTTGGTTCACCTGAAACAGCCAGTGAGAGGCCGGGTGTGGTGGCTCACACCCGTAATCCCAACACTTCAGGAGGCAGACGCGGGTGATCGCTCACTTGAGATCAGGAGTTCAAGACCAGCCTGGGCAACATGGTGAAACCTCGTCTCTACTAAAAATACAAAAATTAGCTAGGCATGGTGGTGGGCACCTGTAATCCCAGCTACTTGGAAGGCTGAGGCAAGAGAATCGCTTGAACCTGGGAGGTGGAGGTTGCAGCGAGACGAGATTACGCCGCTGCACTCCAGCCTGGGTGACGAGAGACTCTGCCTCAAAAAAATAAAAAAATGAAACAGCCAGTGAGGAGGAAGGCTCCCCGCCTTCCCCCCGCCGGAACATAGCCATAGCTGCTGCTGGGACACCCTCTTGGTGGGGAAGAAGGCTGGTTAGCTTCATCAGAGCCAGCAGCAGCAGACCAGGGACGGGCACCTAGGCAGTGGCCTCAGAGTGAACAGGAGTTCCTCAGAAACACACACAGGGACGGCGTGGCGCATGCTCTGCCAGCTCCATGCCTCCTTCCCATTGTGGGGCTGGGCTACGTAGGGCAGAGCTCATGACCTCCGGGAGGACATGGGGGTGGGCTCTGGATGGCACCTGGCATTGCCCCCTGCTGGCCTATGTGACGGTGTGGAGGGCTGGTCACAGAGGTACGACCATCCCTCCAGAATGTGGGTCGGGGCTGTGGATGGAGGAGTAGGCCCCTCATATCCCAGGCCTGCTGCCCAGGCACAACCCACTTGGCCTATGCATTCCAGGCTCCATCCCATGTGACTCTGGGCTTAGCCCCTTCTGGGGCCACAGGTCAGGCAGGTCCAGGCCCCAAGGACCTCCCAGTGACAGGCGACTGTGAGCTGGGCAGACAGGAGTGAAGTCAGGTGGGGGTTCTGGCTTGCTGACACCAGCGTTTGGAGCCTCCTGCTGCTGCCTGGCTTCCCTGCATTCCCTGTTCCCTGCCTCAGGCAAGAAATAACCAAGCCGAGTTGCCTCTGCACAGCAGTGAGCTCCTGGTGGCCCTGGCTTCTGGGGAGCCCTGTGGATGGCTTCCTTGCCCAAGTCAAGGCCTTCTTGTTCCCTTTGTGTGCTCCAGAGAAAGGGGGCAGCACCAGATCCAGATCCAGGGCCAACCAACAGAAAGCTGAGTCCATCCCAAACTCGCCCATTCTCAGAGCACAAAGACCCCATGATCTAGGGCAAACTTGTCCAACTGTTGGCCCATGGAACAGCTTTGAATGCAGCCCAACACAAATCTATAAATTTTCTTAAACATTGTGAGTTGTTTTTTGTTGTTATTTTGAGACAGAGTCTCGATCTGTCGCCCAGGCTGGAGTTAGTGGCCCAATCTCGGCTCACTGCAAGCTCCGCCTCCTGGGTTCACGCTCGTCTCCTGCCTCAGCCTCCCGAGTAGCTGGGACTACAGGCGCCCGCCAACACGCCTGGCTAATTTTGGTATTTTTAGTAGAGACGGGGTTTCACCGTGTTAGCCAGGATGGTCTTGATCTCCTGACCTTGGGATCTGCCCGCCTCGGCCTCCCAAAGTGCTGGGATTACAGGTGTGAGCCACCGTGCCTGGCCAACATTGTGAGTTTTTTTTACGATTTTTTTTTTAAAGCTTATCAGCTATCATTACTGTATTCCATGTATGGCCCATGTATGGCCTCAGTGTATTCCAATGTGGCCCAGGGAAGCCAAAAGATTGGACACCCCTGACCTAGGGCATCCCCATCCTCTGCCTTCCCATGCATGGCTGTACCCAGGTATAGGGGTCCTCCACATTCTGCTCAACACAAAAGATTTCTCCAGCCCCAACCATGGATCCTGGAGCTGGGAGTGTATGGCTTACCCTTAGAACCAGGAGAGGTGACAGCTAGCCCAAGGGCCCAGGCAGGGGCTGGGCTGTGGACACAATTTTTTTTTATTTTGGAGACAGAGTCTTGCTCTGTCACTAAGGCTGGAGTGCAGTGGAGTGATCTTAGCTCACTGCAACCTCTGCCTCCCAGGTTCAACTAATTCTCCTGCCTCAGCCTCCCAAGTAACTGGGATTACAGGTGCATGCCACCACACCCGGTTTTGTTTTTTTTTTTTTTGACAGAGTCTTGCTTTGTTGCCCAGGCTGGAGCACAGTGGCGCGATCTCGGCTCACTGCAAACTCCGCCCCCCGGGTTCACGCCATTCTCCTGCCTCAGCCTCCCGAGTAGCTGGAACTACAAGCACCCTCCACCACGCCCGGCCAATTTTTTGTATTTTTAGTAGAGACGGGGTTTCATCATGTTGGCCAGGCTGGTCTCAAACTCCTGACCTCAGGTGATCCGCCTGCCTCAGCTTCCCAAAGTGCTGGGATTACAGGCGTGAGCCACCATGCCTGGCCCCTGCCCTGATTTCAAAGCTGCAAGCTCAGAGCAGACATTTCACACCCACCTGGAGAAGAGGAGGCAGCCCCTGCCCACTGGTACCCATACCCTCCCTGGGGTGGTGAAGCAGCCTGGGACTGGCTGACCTGAGTGTGGGATCCACCCCCACAAGTTCTCAGTAAACCTGACGGGCGGGTCTAGCTTGTCCTGACGTCCTCAGTTCCCGCTGCTGGCGGGGCACAGGCAACATGACAGAGAGTCAGGTGGGAGGGGGTCCAGACAAATGCCTGGGACAGTCAGGCCAGGCTGAACCAGCAGGCCCACCAGGCTGGGGCCCTCACAGGAGAGCCCCTGGGGTTAGGTGAGGCAGAGCAGATGGAATGTGGAGCTCAGGAAGCCCCAGCCCTGGGCCCTACTGAGCACCCTGAGGGATCCTATTCTCAGATACTCCAGCTGTGGTGAGCCCCAGGTGTGTCAGGGTACTGCTCAGTGGCACCCCATGGAGGCTCAAGTTCAAGACCTCAGACCCTGCCCAGCGCAGCCTCCACACACACTCAAGCTGCTTCGGGCAGTTTATTGAGGTTTTCACGTTGGGGTAGGGGAAGTGGCACACACATGCTCTTGCTGTGTACACACAGTGAAGGACCTCTCCCGCAGGCAAGCACATGCCCACAGCTTGAGCACACTGTCCATGCATCTCCTGTCCCCAACAGGCAGTCGTGGCCTTTGGGGCCTGGCAAGTTCCGAGCTGGCTACGCCCCATGCTTCTCCAGGGTGCTGGCGACCTGGCAAGGACTAGGGCAGTCCCCCACTGCACCCCCAGCTCCTGAGGCCAAACCCAGGGCTTCCCACTGCCTGGCAGAGGAGCCCTCTGTGACCGCCAACTCTCCTTCTGTGGTCCGGGCAGGATGGTCTTGCAGCCCTCACTAGGCTGTCACAGAGCCTGGGGCTGGGCTGCCAGAGGACACCACTCTGGGGCAGGAGCTGCTGCTACCTCCAGGAGTTCTGCGTCATGGGGGCCACTGCGGGAGGACACAGGCTGAGGTGGCTGCAGCCACAGGAGGGCCCGGTGCCCCAGGGGGAGGTGGGGCACAGACATACCCTCGGGGCCTAGGCTGGGCACCAGCATGGGACTCAGAGGGAGCGCCCAGGAGGGACTCCTCTCTGGCTGGAGGCAGAGGGCCCTGTGGGTTGGGAAGTCAGCTTGGAGTGGGGCTGGGCCAGGTCCTCACCTCCCAGCCTCCCCCCAGAACCACTCCGACCTGAGTGCCAGGAGGGCCCCTGTCAGGCCGTGGGGGCGGTGGCAGCGCAGCCCCGGTCTGCTGGATGAACTGCTGCAGGTTGCACTGACGGAGCTCTCGGTTCAGCTCCTCCAGCTCCTGAGCCTGAGCCTGGGGACACATGAGATCCTTAGGAGGCACAGCCACTGGGCTCCACAGCCCTTGTGCTCCGGAGGGAGCACTTTCCCTGGTCGGGCCCTGTGACCCCCATATCTGCCCACGTCAGGGGTTGGGGAGTGACAGGGGATCAGGTCCCCGGGCTCACCTGCCTCCCGAGTGGGACCCTGTGACCCCCGTATCTGCCCACGTCAGGGGTGGGGGAGTGACAGGGGATCAGGTCCGCGGGCTCACCTGCCTCCCGAGTCAGACCCTGTGACCCCCATATCTGCCCACGTCAGGGGTGGGGGAGTGACAGGGGATCAGGTCCCCGGGCTCACCTGCCTCCCGAGTGGGACCCTGTGATCCCCGTATCTGCCCATATCAGGGGTGGGGGAGTGACAGGGGATCAGGTCCCCGGGCTCACCTGCAAGGCTCGCTCTGCTGCCTCCAGGGCCCGGCTCACCAGAGCCAGGCTGCCCTGCACCTCCGCACTCTGCCGCTCCTGAACAGCCAGGTCCTGGTGCAGGCGCTCAGTGGCAGATGCCATAGGTGAGGGGGGCCCAGGGGCCTCCGCTGCCAGCTGCAGCTCAGCCTCCAGGGCACGGGCCTGAGCGTCCAGGGCCTGCAGCCGGGCGGCATGCTCAGCAGTGGCCGCACTTAGTGCCTGCAGGCGTGCCTGTCCCTCTCGCTCCCGGGCCTGCTCCCGGCGCAGCTCTTGCTCCCAGAAGGCCTCATGGCCCAGCTCCTCAGCATTCCTCTGCACCCTGAGCTCCAGGCCCCGCAGGTCTGTGCAGCAGCCTGGTGTGGGTGTCACAGGGGCCGCAGGCCCAGGGCGTGAGAGGCTGGGGGCTGGCTCGGGGGTCAGTGTTTTGCGGGGCTCACAGCCCAGCGCAGCCCGTGGCTTTACAGGGAGGCTGGCACGAATTAGGCAGCGTTCCGGGGGTGGACAGCTGTCTGAGGAGGGCCTCCCAGCTAGGCTGGCCCCTGTGCGCCTCAGGACAAACTGGACATCGCTGGCAAACTGTCCGCAGGTGGCCTGGGCGCCCACTGGACACTCTTGTGGCAGCAACTGCCGCTCCTTCTCCCGAAGCCGCTGCACAAGCACAAAGCGGCCAGTCTGGCCTGGGAAGAAGAGGAGAAGGTCAGCCTATGTCCCCCCGACTCTCTGTCCACCTGGCTTGAAGAGTTGGGAAGAACAAAAAGGATCAGCAACCAGCCCCACTCTCCTTGGGGGAGACCATGGAGCTGGACCACCAGGTCCCACTTCAGCTCTACCTGCCCGGCCTGCCTGACCCCGAGAGGACTCACCTATTGCTTGGGCTAGTGCGATGACCACTTCCTGGCAGGTGGTCTGCTCTGAGACCCCACAGACCACACGCTGGATGCCATCCACCCACACCTTCAGCTCCATGGCCGCCAGTCCCAACAACATGCCTGTCCTGTGGGGAGGGCGCAGGCACCGGGTCAGGACCTGCCTACTCCTATCGCAGGCTGGTCCTCCTCTCCTCATCCTCTTGGCCTGCCCTAGAAACGGCTGGGCTGCCGCCCCTCCGCACGGGCCCCACCCTCCTGTGCCAGCCCCACCCGCCAGCCACACATTCCTGGGGTGGCGGCCCTCCGGAGCACGCATCCTCCCCCACTTCACCAGCTTCCTCTTGCCACGCTCGCACTCCCGGAACAAGGCGAATCATTAACCAGATCCAGCATTTCCTACTCGCCTCACCTGGCTCGGAGGACACTGCCCCCTCCCCGGGCGGCGCGGAGGCGCCCGCACGCCAGGCCCCGCGGCCGCCGGCATGGGAACGCCCCACCCCGACCTGCTCAGGCCGCAGAGGCGCTCGGGGTCGCAACCCAGACCTCGACCCTGCAGATGGAGCAGACTCCGGGTCTGAGCAGCCCCCGCCAGCCCGGGGAGCCCCGCCGCTGCCGCCTAATCGCTGCGCTCGCCCCGAAAGTCCCGGTCCCCGCCGCGGGCACCGAAGCCCGCGCCGCGACCCCAGCCTGGCGGGAGCCAGGGCGTCCCCGTTCCGCAGGGCGGGCGCAGGTGCGGCGCCGCCCCCGCTCTCCGTCCGGGCATCGCGGAAAACTCTCCCCAGTTGGAGTCGGCGTCCGGCCGGCTCGAGGCGCGCCCCGCGCTCCCAAGTACCGGGGACCCGGCGCGGCTCACCTGGGCGCTCGCCAGCCTGGAGACCCGCTCCGGCGCCGCCGCAACCTGCCGCCCCCAGCGCCGCGGCGCACCCGGGCCCCGCGCCCCCATTGGCCCGCGGTCCGCACGCCCCGCCCCTAGCACCCCTATTGGCTGCTCAGCGCGGGCGTTCCGCCCCCTCCCAGCGCCCATTGGCTGCCTCTGTCACGCCCCTCCCCGACCCATTGGCTCGTCGCCGCGCCCCGCCCCCCCCCGAGACTACAGGTGTGGGCGGGTCGGAGGGGGGCGCCGAGCCGCAGTCCCCGCCCCCACCTCCCGCCTACCGCGAAAAACGCGGAAATGCGGTGGCTGCGGCCCGCGGGCAGGCGTCGGGGTAGGTGTCTGGCCCCGCTCCTGGGCCGACTTCCTCAGCAGCCTTCTAGTGTGGCGGGTTCCCGCCCAGGAAGGGTCTCTGGCTTGAGATCCCGCAACCCCCGCCTGCGTCCAGGGGCAGCGGGGCCAGCCCCTCCCCTCGCTTCCCGGGCCAGCCTTTGGGGCCTACCGCAGCTGCAGTAGTCTGGACGCGCAGGGGTCGCGGGGTCGCAGGGTCACCAGTCCCGGCGAGGGAGGTGGAGCCCTGCGGAGCTGGCGGGCGCAGAGTCCTGGTGCGGGAGGTGCCCGCTCAGAAGGCCCGGACTCTAGCTGAGGCTCTTCTCCGACACCTTCCTGCCCCTTTTGGACCCAGTGCCAGGCCATGCACACAGTGAAGCTGGCTGGAAGCCGCTCCTTCACCCCCTACCCTACTGTCCCGCCCAGGGCCCCGCAGCCTCGCGGTCAGCTGTGTGGGCCATTGATTGTTCTGCCCAGCTCAGAAAGAGTTGTGGGCGTGGGCCTCCTGCCCGCCTGTCTCCTGTGCTCCCCCAGGGAGCCCTTACATAGCCGAAAGTTGCAGAGATGAAGGGTGAAAGCTGGAATGATTGGGTTTTAATGGGTCAGGTCTGGGACCTGGCTTTTCTCCTGGAGCAGAGGGAATACTTGTCATGGTAATGGGGTAGCCCAGAGGGTGTGGACACGGCTGGGAAAAGTGAGGCTTCAGTTTGGGGGTCAGGTAAGTGCCTGTCACTGAGGTCAAAGGAGCTGTGGGCTGGGCCTGGCGGTGGAGGCGGGTGCCTGTAGTTTCAGCAAGTCAGGAGGCGGAAGTGGGAGGATCACCTGAGCCCAGGAATTCGAGGTTAACGTGCGCTGTCATCACACCGAAGCATTCCAGCCTGGACAGCGGAGCAAGACCCTGTCTCTAAAGAATTAATTATTAATTTAAAAACAGGCTGTGGGCAGGAGTGTACTATTGCCAGTTAGCGTTCAGCACAGTCCCCAGCTTGTCACTGTTACCTGTCTGCTTCCCCCACACACCCATGGCTATGCTGGGCTGGCTCACAGGCAGCAGTGCCCCCCTATTTATCCCGCTGCTGCTGCCAGGCTAGGTAGGGGATGCTGGGGCCTCCCTCAGGGTGTTGGTCACTAAGTGGTCCCCCCGCTAAGCTGAGCAGTGGCTCAGCCTCTCACACCTCCTCCAGGCTGGGCTGGCCCAGAACTCACCTAGGGGCCTGGTCTGGGGTCTCCCTGGAGGCTCCTGGTAACAAACAGCCCCACCCCTTCTGGGTGCTGGTATCCATGGCAACGGTATACAGCCCTTCCCTCCCAGGCCTGCTTGGAGGTCGGGCCTCAGGTGAGTGCTGGGGGTAGGGCCCTGAGCTGGGGGGACAAGAGAGAGAAAGAGGGACACCACATCACAGGCAAAGGGCCAGCACCTGGGTGGCAGGGGTACACGCCAGGGACATGTCGGGTGGTGACCTGCTGCGCCAGCCTGGTCAGAAACACACGGGTGTGGACACCCACATGTGGGTCCCTTCAGAGAGCAACGCTCTGTGAGTAAGTGGTGACGCCTGGGCTGCTCCAACCTGTGTGGCCACACGAGGCGCACACGGCAGACGGGCCCCCCACCCCTCCCAGCTCCCGAAGAACATTGAGAATGGCCCCCAAGTCTGGCCAGGAGGTTAAAGAAACCGAGGAAGAGGCTCTCCTGTCCCCCACAGAGCAAGAGTCGGTCAGTGGTCACCTGGGACCTCCAGCAGGCGCACCTGCAGCCCCCGAGACTCCCACGTGCCTGCCAGACACCACGCCCCACCCCACACCGGTGGTCTGCTCTGCCGACCCGCAGTAAGGAGGAGAGGGAGGACTGGTGAGCCTCCTGGGCCAGGTGGCCAGGGGCCGGCCTGAGTAAGCAGCAGGGTCTGCTGCCGCTGCAGGTTGGCTCTTGAGTCCCTGGACCCTCGCACACTGCGGCTGCTGTGGAGACAGCGAGAACTGGAGATCCAGGCCTTGCGGTGGGCCATCCAGAATGGCGAGGACGCCCGGCTCTGCCACATCCTGGAAGAGGTGGCGGGGCTTCCGCCCAAGAGGTCTGCAGCACAGTCCCCAGCCCAACCCAACCCCGCCCTGTCCTCGCCCGGACTCCTGGTTTCTGTCTGACCCCAACCCCAACCGCTGAGGCAGATCCTTACCCTCATCCTTGCCCGCGCTGACCCTCCACCCTGATCCTAAGTTAACACGCTATAGCCTCCACCCTAACCCTGCGCATGTGGATGGGTGCTAGACCCTTGTCCAGACCAGCCGGAGGCTGGCCAGCCCCAGCGGGGCTGTACTGTGTGCCCTTGGGGCCAAGGTGGCAGTGGAGCCCCTCCTTCTCCCCTCCTTCGCCACTGACCTGACATTAGGAACCCCTGCCTGAGCAGGGTGGGGGCTGCTGAGGTCACCCCTCCTCCAGGAGCTCCCACAGTCAGGAGAAACTCCTGCAGAACCAGGTCCAGAAGCTGATCCAGGAGTTGAAGGAACAGAAGGAGCGAGCCCAGTGGGTGAGGCAGGGGCACAGGGAGTGGGCAGGGTCCTGGTGTTGGGGAGCCAGGCTGGGGCTGGCCTGGGGGCCTTCTGCAGAAGACACCCCCCCACCACCAACCACAGGCCCTCTCGGAGCAGGAGAAGGAGCACCTGGAGGAGCGGCTGCTGCAGACCACCCGCACGCTCCAAGAGATGGAGGCCGAGCTGCAGAACTTGCAGAAGTCCTGCCTCCTGCAGCTGGCCCGCTCCTCGTGGGTGGGCCGCATGCTACGATCCCAGACTGGCAGTGTGGAGGTGAGCCTGTCCCCCAAGCCCTCCTGCCCCAGGCTGCCCTCCCCAGCCCTCCCCATCTCGTCGGGTGCCTCTGCTGGGGCGCCCTGGCCTGCCTGGAAGCCTGCCCTGCTCAGGTGCCTCTGGAACTCTGGGCTCCAGCAGGGAGGAATCAGGAGGCCTCAAAGCACAGGTGAGGTCAAAGAGGAGAGGTGCTGTAGGGGAGCACCCAGCCCCTGCCCACTGGCTTCCGGTCCCCTCTTGCAGGTAGTGACGGCAGAGACTCTGATGGACCCAAGCGACCTCTCTGAAAACATTCAGGCCCCCACCGGGGAGGTGAGCTAGGCCTCCCACGTGTGTGGTCTGGTATCTGGAGCCCTGCGGGAGGGGAGGACCATGTGCCTCTTGCTTCCTGGCCAGGGCTTTCGGCTGGAGGACGTGGATTGGAACAGCGTTGCCCGCCGGTATCCCAACCTCTTCACCAACATGGAGCCCAGCTCAAAGCAAAAGTAACTGCACAGAGCAGGGACTCCCCAGGGGCCAGAAGGGAGGGCTCACCTTGGCAGGTGAAGACGCAGGACACTAAAGGACCATTTAGTGTCCCTGGATAAGTCTCTTAAACCTTCCAATGCGCGTTCTCTGATCTGTAGAATGCGTTGGGGTTGAGGCAGCCATCACTGTCCTGCCATGAACTGAGCCTGGGTACTGGGAGGCAAGAGGGGCTCCCTGCTGCACTGCCTTGTGAGGCTGGACGGGGGCAGGGCTGGGGTCTGGAGCTGGAGTGGCCATCAAGCAGAGCGTGGTCCACAGGCAGCCCCGGCCCTGGCCACAGCTGGACACAGGGAGCCCAGAGTCCTCTGGAAAGCATTCCGAGCGGCATCACAAGACCGTGGAGTGGGGCTCCCTGCCCTGTCTGAACACCAGCAGCTCAGGGGGCGCTGACTCCGACTCCAGCAGCTGCCGGCCGGGCCTGCCTTCCTTCGTGCAGGTGATAGGGCACCCGCCCCGGGACCACCGCGCTTCCTCCGAGCAAGCGCTGGTGCAGGCCGGGAGCTACAGCAGGGACTCAGAAGGTGCAGTGGGGCGGGTCTCCCCTGGTTACCCTTCACCCACCCTCCACCCCCTCAGAGCTGTGATCTCACTCAGAGCCCTGGAGGTGGCCCTCCAGCCCCCAAGGTCCAGCCACCTTTCCTGCCCCATCTGACCCTGGCCCTGCTCCCTGCCCCGCCAGGCGTTGCAGGCCTGTTCTGACCTCACGGGGAACATCCGGTGGGGACTCCATTCGAGGGTCCCCTCCCCAAAAGCGCTGCTCTCTCTAGATCTCCAGAAAACCCACTCACCCAGGCACGGCGAGCCGGTCCTGTCGCCCCAGCCCTGCACAGACCCCGACCACTGGAGCCCGGAACTCCTGCAGAGGTAAGGGGCGAGTGACCCAAGCCTCCGGCGCCGGGCTGGAGCTGGTTTCCGGGCGGGGCGCGCAGCTGTGCGGGTGGACCGGCCGCATCTCCTCACAGCGTCTCCTCTCTTCCCAGCCCGACAGGCCTGAAGATCGTGGCTGTGAGCTGCCGGGAGAAGTTCGTCCGCATCTTCAACCCGTCGCAGGAGAGCACGGCCGACCTGAGCGGCATGGTGCTGAAGCAGCTGGTGCGCGGCTTCCCGGAGCGCCTGTACCGCTTCCCGCCGGGCACGCTGCTGGCCCCGCGGCACCACGTCACGGTGCGCCCCGGCCCGGGAGCCCGGCCCCGACGGCCCGGCCCGGCCGCCCCTCACCCGCCGCTCCACGCCCTTCCAGGTCTGGGGCGAGGCGACCCGCAGCGCCAAGAAGCCGCTGCGCGCGTCCTCGAGCCGGGAGCCCGTTCCCCTCCTCTCCATCCGCGGCTGCGCGACGCTGCTCCTGAGCCCCAAGGGCGAGGTCGGTGCGGGTCCCCGGTGGGGCGGCCGGGGCTGGGGTGTGGGGGTGACCGACGCGCCCCGCAGGTC
The DNA here is from genome assembly GCF_000001405.40 of Homo sapiens. NCBI lineage: Eukaryota > Metazoa > Chordata > Mammalia > Primates > Hominidae > Homo > Homo sapiens. The sequence continues at coordinate 85,586 of NT_187586.1, read as the reverse complement.
CTCAGTGAGCACCGGATCCCACGCCGCGAGACTCCGGCCCCGAGGGTCTTCGCCGACGGCACCGACTTGTCCATCGACCGCTTCCCGCTCCCTGAGGCCGGGCCCGGCGCCGACACCCGCAAGCCGCCGCGCCCACCTCGACCCCTGCGCAAAGGCCGGGTGCGGGAGCCCCGGGTCAGTCGCCGGAGACCAGGGTGGGGACCGCGGGTCCCCGGGATCTGGCCTCCCTCCCCAGGCCCCGACCCAGCAGAAACGGTCCCTCGTATCCCCTCGCTAGGACGGACCCCTACTTCCCCAGGCCCCGCCCCGGCCGCCCCCTGGTCCTCCAGTACGCCCCGCGGCCCCTGCCCCGCCCCAGGCGCGGAGCCCTCTAGGGCCGCCTTTCCCGGGCCGGCCGCCGCCCTCACGACCCTCGCCCCACCAGGACGCGGGGCCTGCTGCCCCCAGTGAGCTCGGGGAAGCTCTTCCACGCGCGGGAGGGGCCTGCGCGGCCCGAGAACCCCGAGATCCCCGCGCCGCAGCACCTGCCCGCCATCCCGGGTGACCCCACCCTGCCGTCGCCTCCCGCAGAGGCCGGGCTGGGCCTGGAGGACTGTCGGCTCCAGAAAGAACACCGAGTTCGGGTGAGTGCGCGCTTGCGGGTGCGCCCCCTCCTCTCCCTCCTCGTTCTCCTCCTCTCCTCTCCCGCCCCTCCCTCCCCTCTTCTCCTCGTCCCCTCCCCTCCGCTCTCCTCCCCGCCCCTCCGCTCTCCTCCCCGCCCCTCCCCTCTCCTCCCCTCCCCTCCCCTCCCGTCCCCGCCCCGCCCCGCGCGCCTCTCAGCCCCCGCGCCCCCCAGGTGTGCCGGAAGAGCGTGGACCGTAGCTGCCCCCTGGTGGCCCTGTCGGTGCAGAACACGGCGGAGAGCAGATTCGGCTTCCGCTTCCTCAGCTGCCTGCCGGTCACCGCGGACACCTGCCGCGGCGCCTAGGGGCGGAGGAGTGGGGCCGGGACCGCGAGGGAGGGCGCGGGCGGGCGCCGGGGCTGGGCGGGCTGTGTCCGCTGCATCATTTATTGAACCAACGTGGCCTACAAAGTAAACCGCATTTCTGTACACCTGAGAGCTGGAAATGTTGGTTTGGGTTCCGGGGCGTCCTGCGCCAAGAGGAGGGGACGGGCCGCCCTATCGCAGTGCGGGAACCCTACAGATCCCCCGGAGACGGGAGGCCTGGACCGCACCCCCGGCGGCCTCAGGCGAGCAGCTGGGACCTTGGGCCACTGCGGCCTAGGAGGTGGCTCTTACCCTGGGGCTGGCAAGGGAGTGGTGGACTCGCAGCTCCAGCCCCTGCCCCTCGGCCATGCCCAATTCTAGCAGGAGAGGCCTCTCACAGGCCTGCTCGGGTGACCACCCCCCACCCCCGTGCCCGCGGGAAAGCCTGGCCCTAAGGAAGGGCTGGGGAGCCGGACCCTCCCTCCCCAGGCCAAACCCAGTTGGGGGCCTAAACTGGGTTCCAGCCTCTGCTGCCTCCCTGGCTGGTCCCAGTCCCCCACTCCCCTCCACCAAGAGGGTCCTCCCCAGGGCCAGGCACTCCTTCCACCCCCCAACACACCCGCCCAGGTATTCTGTGCTCTGTGACCACATATGTGGGCAAGTCGTGGCCCCAGCACAGGCAAGCCTGGCAGTGGGGGCTATATTAAGTGGGGACGGGGCTGGGGTGAGAGAGTTCAGCTGCCCTGGGAGGTCTAGCTGCTGCATGTGGTGCTGGCTTTGGGCCAGGACATCCCTGGGCTCGAGGGCTCAGGCCTGAGGCCACCTCCAGGGCTCTCAGGACAGGCACTGCAGCCACCCCATCACCCAGGCCAGGCCCCCAGCTGCCCAGGACTCGGAGCCGACGCCCCCTGGACTGCAGGTCTGTCGACCACCGCGGGGAGCTGCTGCCAGAATCTCGTGGCCTTGGGTGCTTGGGAGGTGAAGGGACCAGGTGCTGGCTCGAGGTCCCGGAGGGCTCTAGAAAGCAAGCAGAGTGATGGGACGTCAGAAAGGCTGTCAGGGAAGGGAGTCACCCGGTGGGGAGGCCACAGCCCACCCGTGGCCCTGCAGCCCTGAGGCAGTGGTCCTTGGGGGTCCACAGGCAGCAGCACCCCTGCACCCCACTTTCTGTGTTCCCAGCCCTGTGACCCCTGACTCGCATGGGCGGGCCCACCTCTGGGGCAGGCAAGGAGGCCACGAAGCCTGGTTCTGGCCCTGGGTCCTCTGTGTCCTGTCCCTGAGAAGGAGACCACAAGGCCTGGCTCTGACCCTCGGTCATCTGTGTCCTGACCCTGAGAGCCTGTTCACTGGCTGACCGCCCCGGGCCGGTTCCCAAGCCTTGGGTCCCCCAGCACCCGCCTCCACCGGTGTCTGGAGCCCTGGCATGCCTTTGTCCTGACCCTGCCCCGAGGCCACTGCAGCTCCCCTCCTCCTGGCCGCCCTGCCTGCCCTCCCTCCACCCCTGCAGGTCACGGCCACTAGGTAACCAGCTGTTGACCCCTCTGTCTGCCCCCTCCACAGACACCCACCACCATATGGAAGAGCAGAGGCTTGGCCTGCCCTGTTCCCTGCCCATCCCAGCCCCCTTAACCAGGCTCCTGCACAGAGGAGGGTCAGCTGCCCACCGTGGGGTCGCCCCTGCTTACACTGCCCCCTGCCCGGCCTGCCTGCCCGCTGAGGGAGGGTCCTCTCTGCTTTGCAGCTGTGATCACACTGAAGTCAGTGTCCTTCGTAAAGGGCACTGCATGGCTTAATTCTATGTCCCCAAGTGCGCGTGCCATCTTCAGGGTGAAGCGGCAGCACCCTCCTGCCTTGGTCTCCCAGTGGGGCTGCTGGCCGCCTTTCCTCCCAGCCCCCGGACTCATGCCTGTGTCCCTGAAAGCTGCCCAGTGGCCATGTTCTGCCTGCTGGTGCCCTGGGGTGGCTCCTTCTTTCTGTCCCGACTCCTCTGGACTCTGTTCATACCCCCTTTTGTGGAACGCCTCTCTTTCGTCCAGCCCGGGTGGCACACAAGGTCACAGGGATTGGACCGTGGCTTGGGAGAGGACTTGGGTTGGGCCTCCCTCGGTCGTGAGCCCCCCACCCCCAGAAGGGGGCCTCCCTGTTACAGTCCCTCTCAGAGCATGGCTGAGGAAGCAGGGCCAGGTTGACAGGTCTGATCTGGGGTAAGGGCCCCCCTATAGAGGTGGGGTGTTGGTCACTCCCAGGCACTGGGGGGCAGGCGGGCAGGCTCAGTACCTGAGGCCAGGCTTGGGGGGCTGGAGGGAGTCTTGGGCTCTGCCTGGTGCACTTGCTCTTCAGGGACCCTCCGTGGGCCCCAGGGGGCTACAGCCCCTTCCTGTTGGGACTCCGGGTGCCTATAGGGGAGGGGGCTAGGGTGGGGAGAGGAGGAGGAGCTCCAGCCCTGATCCCCCCACGGGACAGGACACATAGGGATGGTCCATGAGCCTTGGGACTGGGGATGACTCAGCCAAGGTAGCCCCAGCCCTGATCCCCCCACGGGACAGGACACACAGGGATGGTCCACGAGCCTTGGGACCAGCGATGACTCAGCCAAGGTAGCCCCAGCCCTGATCCCCCCACGGGACAGGACATGCAGGGATGGTCCACGAGCCTTGGGACTGGGGATGACTCAGCCAAGGTAGCCCCAGCCCTGATTTCCCCACGGGACAGGACACACCCAGTGGAAGAGCTGGAGGGACACCCACCGCACGCCATGTTCCCTCCAGGCCCTGAGCCCAGCCAAGGCCAGGAAGTCAGAGCTGTCTGCAGGGTCAGGCTCTGGGGTGGAAGTGCTGGCGGCCGGATCTCCTGGCCTGTGTTGGGGCAGCTGCTCGGGGGGCTCCCTGGCCTGGGGAGGAAAAGGGACTGCTTTAGGGATTCTGGCCCTGGAATGGCGGCAGGGCAGGGCACTGTCAGGGCCGCAACCCTGGACACTGGTTCTCGTGGGGGGCTGGTCCCTGTGGGCTGTACCTGGCACTGGTGCCTACGCTCCCGCAGGCCCTTGGTGGGGTTCCCACAGAGGACTTGGCCAGCACCTGCAAGAGACAGCATGGCTGGGCCTGGTTCGGGGCCGAGGGGCTGCAGGGTCAGCTTTGAGGCAAGTCAGTTACCATGGGTGAGGCTGCTGGTGTTATCTTCTGGGGCCAGGTCCTCAGAAAGCAGGCCTTCAGGCAGGGGGCCCCCATGGACCAGCAGGGAGAAGGGCCAGGGCCTGGAGGCCCGGGACTGCGTCTCAGGCAGGGACAGCTCGGGGTCAAGTCTCCGGATGGGGGCTCCACGGGGACAGTCTGCCCGAGGTTCAGAAGCAGAGGTCACCAAGGCCCAGCCTGAGAGCGCCCCCCAGACTCTGTCCACAGACCAGGGGCCCCAATCCCCATGCTGCATGGCCTGAGGCTGGCCTCTCACGCTGCAGCCTTCTAGAGAGGCCCTCATCTTCAGACCTTCCTCTCCCTCTGTGGGCTGCTCAGAGACAGTGTCCTGGCCTGGGGCCGGGTGTGCACAGCTCTGGGGACCGGGGTCAAGGCTGGAGAAGTGCATGAGATGTGGCTATCCGTTTCTGAGAAGCCTGGGGTGGGGGCCTCTTCCTGGGGGGAGCTGGGGCTCAGCAGTGGGTCCTCCGGGCGCAGCTGCCGTACCCAGCGGGGGAAGGCCGTTGCCCTTCTTGATGGCCTCCTTCACCGCAAGCCAGTCCTGGCTCAGCCGCGGGGGGGCCGGTGGGCCTGTGTGTGCGGCCGGCACTTCGTCCAGGACCTGCAGCTGGGGAATGAGCTTCCTCACCTCTGCCCTGTAGTTGTAGCCCCTGGGCACCTGCAGGGGGAGGGGGAGGGGGAGGGAGGGCAGGTCTGGGTCCAGTGTTTCCTTCCGGCCAGCTCTTTCCCTGGCTCCCTTTCCCAGACCCACCGTGGGGCAGGGCAGGGGCCCAGAGGTGGGGATGCTGCCTACCCTGCAGGGGTGGGCTTGGGTCACTCTCACACCCCAGGGACTGAGGGACTGGGCTCTCACCTGCTCAGGATGTAGGACCCCACTCTCCAGACCCAAGGCCGGGTCCAGGGATGCCCTCTGGCCCATGGAACTGCCCTCAGCTCAGGGCTCTGGCCCACGGAGCAGTAGCTACTGGGCACTGGTAGACGCTGACCTCAGCATGTGGCAGCACCAAGCAGCAGCTAATGAGGCTAGCACTGTGAGCTCAGGGCAGATGTGCCCTGTGTAGGGTCTGTGAGCTACGCCAGGGCCTGCACGCACAGGTGTGCCAGCTCTGAGCAGGGCACGCAGAGCCCCGAGATACTGCATAGGGTGGTCTGTGGGGCCTGTGGGGCTGGAGGTGGCTCTGGACAGGGCGTACACAGGTGTGTGTGTGCACACATCCGTGTACACGTGGTTCTTTGTGTTTCCACGTGGCTTATGTGTGGACCTCACAGGTGCATATGTGGGTTAAGGGACATGGCGTGTGTGCAGGTGACCCTGTGGGATCTAGCGGGGCTGGTCCAGGAGGGTGTCCTGGGAGCCGTCAGACTTCCAGTGACAGAGGAGGTGAACTCATGGTGAGCAGGCCATAGGGTGCGGGTGGGCACAGAAGTACCTGGCCAGAGGAGGGGCCCCGGGGCTGGAGCCACAGGGAGCCTCTCCTGGCCATGCACATGCTGGCCGGGTGCCCGGGACACGCACCTTGTTGGTGGGGCCAGGGGCCGGCTGTAGGCACACCAGGTTGCCCTCCAGGGTGAGCATGGCCAGGCGTGGGCACAGCTGCAAGTAGCGCACCTGCCCCAGGTCCTCCACGCTGTTGCCCTCCAGGTCCAGCACCTCCAATTGTTCCAGCAGGCACAGTGGGCTCAGGTCCGAGATGTTGTTGTAGGAGGCGTAGAGTTCCTGGGCAGCGCGGGGCTCTGAGCCAGGGCCCGGCCCAGCCCAGCCCTCCCCAGCCCAGGGTGCCCAGACTCACCTTAAGTGCTGGCAAAGAGGCGATGCCATCCAGGTCAGCAAGGCCACAGCGAGCCAGCCACAGCACCTGCAGGTGGCCCAGAGACGTGCCCAAGTCCCTGCAGAAGGCAGGGTTTGGTGGTCAACATGTGCCCAGCCCTGTGCTCAGCCACCACCTGCCTTTGGCTGTCTTCAGGGGTAGGGGCAGGTGTGACCACCTATGGTGGCCTCTAGACTGAGGAAGGGGCTCTCTGCCTTGGCCTTCTGGCTCTGGTGTGGGTACAGTGTCCCCCACCTTCTCCAAGCCCTGGAGGGCCTGGCTTGGGGAGCTGCCCTCGTGACCGGTGGCTCAGCTGTGCCCAAGGCGCTGCCCTCATAGTGGGTGGCTCAGTCCCCTCCCTGGCAGGCTGCAGGCATCACCTTTCTCTTTCTAATTGTCTCCTCAGTAGCGTTTGGGGCACTCGAATTTGGAGTAAGGGTCTGGAGTGCTGCCTGGGAGCCTGAGCCCCTGGACACCGATGTGGGGGGCTTCGCTGGAGGCTGACCCCGTGCTGAGCTGGCAGCTTTGGTGGGGACCAGCTGCTGGAGGTGGCGGTGGGTCAGGGCGGCTTGATGTGTGCAGGGACAGGTTGCTTCCTGCCGGGCCCACCCTGTTCCCACTGTAGCCACAGTGACTTCACCATGCGCTGTCCCCAGGGACCCTGCACCTGCCCCTCTCGGCTGGGAGGCCGTCCCTTCAGCGCTGCTACGCCATCTCTGCACCTCTCCTTGTGAAAGGGCCACCTGAGCTCACAGGCTTTCCCTGAGGAGCCACAGATTCCTCCAGGGCTGGGTGATTTCTTCGGAAATCTTCTTTCTGTCCAGTTCACGGCACCCGTAGGCTGTGACTCACCTGGGCTTCCTTCCGCCCACTGTGTTTTCAGCTTCCTTCTGTGGGCCCTCAGGTGCATTCCCGGTGGTCCGTCCTTTCGCGCTGTGGAGTCAGTGTCTGTCCTCAGCCTGCTGCCTTCAATGGCTTTTCCACTCCGCTCTGAATTGGCTGGGATTTGTGTCTAGTGATTTCTTCAAGAGCAGCTAATGGAAACCCCTTGATCTCTGACTCACAGATGTTTGCTGGCTGTGAGCTTATGCAGCCATTAGGCTGGGTGTCAGACTCTCAGTTCACGCCTCTTCCCAGGAGGCTGCAAAGCCTTTCGTTCCAGTGTCCACTGTGGCGACGTCTAAGGAGCACTTCGTTATTTCTGTCCTTAAAAAACCACTTGAGGCCGGGCGCGGTGGTTCACGCCTGTCATCCCAGCACTTTGGGAGGCCGAGGCAGGCAGATCACGAGGTCAGGAGATCTAGACCGTCCTGGTTAACACGGTGAAACCCCATCTCTACTAAAAATACAAAAAAATTAGCCAGGCGTGGTGGCGCGCGCCTGTAGTCCCAGCACTTTGGGAGGCTGAGGCAGGAGAATCGCTTGAACCGGGGAGGTGGAGGTTGCAGTGAGCTGAGATTGCGCCACTGCACTCCAGCCTGGATGACAGAGCGAGCCTCCGTCTCCAAACAAACAAACAAACAAACAAAACTTGAGGCTGAGCACAGTGCTTCATGCCTGTAATCCTGGCACTTCAGGAGGCTGAGGTGGGAGGAGCACCTGAGCCCAGGAGGTCGAGGCTATTGTAAGCCATGGTCGCACCACTGCACTCCAGCCTGGGCGACAGAGTGAGACCCTGTCTCAAAGAAAAAAAGACAAGTCAATCTCTTTTCTTGGCTGCTCCAACTTTTTACCTTTATCTTCATGCCAGTAACTTTATTAGGATATGTTTCAGTGCCAATAATTCAGTTTGTTTTTCCTTTCAGTCTTTTATTTATGACAAGTTCCTTTGAAATTTTTTAATTTTTAATTTTTTTTTTGAGATGGAGTCTCTGTCACTCAGGCTGGAGTGCAGTGGCACGATCTTGGCTCACTGCAACCTCTGCCTCCCAGGTTCAAGCAATTCTCCTGCCTCAGCCTCCCGAGTAGCTGTGATTACAGGTGCCCGCCACCACACCCGGCTAATTTTTGTATTTTTAGTAGATACGGGGTTTCACCATCTTGGCCAGGCTGGTCTTGAACTGCTGACCTCATGTTCCACTCGCCTTGGCCTCCCAAAGTGCTGGGATTACAGGTGTGAGCCACCGCACCTGGCCTGAATATATTTTTTATACAATTTATGACCTAGTCATTTTTCCTTTGGAACTATTTTGTTTTGTTACAGGTAGTGCATCATATTTAATTTTATAGTACCTTCCACTGCTCTTTTATATTTTGTGTATTTATGTGCTTTTTATATTTTTTTGTTGTTCTTAGAGCTAATTTGTTGGTCTTAACAATAGAGGCTTCTGGCCGGGCGTGGTGGCTCACGCCTGTAATCCCAGCATTTTGGGAGGCCGAGGCGGGCAGATCATGAGGTCAGGAGATCGAGACCATCCTGGCCAACGTGGTGAAACCTCGTCTCTACTAAAAATACAAAAAATTAGCCGGGCGTGGTGGCAGGCGCCTGTAGTCCCAGCTACTCGGGAGGCTGAGGCAGGGGAATGGCGTGAACCCGGGAGGCGAGATTGCAGTGAGCCGAGATTGCGCCACTGCACTCCAGCCTGGGCAACGGAGTGAGACTCTGTCTCAAAACAAAAAAAAACACAAAATAATAGAGGCTTATTTGTTAAGCTAAAAAAAAAAGTACAGCCATCTCCATTAGAATATCATTTACTCTTGTATTAGGGGCACTTTTTTTGTTCTTTGTTTTTGTTTTTTACGGTTTTTTGAGACGGAGTCTTGCTCTGTCACCCAGGCTGGAGTGCAGTGGCGCGATCTCAGCTCACTGCAACCTCCACCTCCCAGGTCCAAGTGATTCTCATGCCTCAGCCTCCTGTGCAGCTGGCATTACAGGCATGCACCGCCAAGCCCAAGCCCAAGCCCAGCTAATTTTTTTTTTTTTGAGATGGAGTTTTGCTCTTGTTGCCTAGGCTGGAGTGCAATGGAGCAATCTTGGCTTACTGCAACCTCCGCCTCCTGGGTTCAAGCAATTCTCCTGCCTCTGCCTCCTGTGTAGCTGGGATTACAAGCGCACACCATGCCTGGCTATTTCTTTTTTTTTTTGTATTTTTAGTAGAGATGGGTTTTCACCACGTTAGCCAGGCGGATCTTGAACTCCTGACCTCGTGATCCGCCTGCCTTGGCCTCCCAAAGTGTTGGGATTACAGGTGTGAGCCAACCCGCCTGGCTGGGAGACATGTTTCTAAGAAGTCCATTTTCCAAACCCATCCTAGTTTCTCGTTCGCGGTGTCGTCTGGGTGCCTGCTGCAGGCCTGACTTCATGTCCAGGCCCCTCTCTGTTCCAGTTCTGTGGGCTGCCCACTGTGTCTTTGACCCCAAAGTGTTTTCCAACTTTCTTCCATTTCCAGATCTTCATGTATTTTTTTTTTTTTGAGACGAAGTCTCACTCAGTCGCCCAGGCTGGAGTTTAGTGGTGCGATCTTGGCTCACTGCAAGCTCCGCCTCCTGGGTTCACGCCATTTTCCTGCCTCAGCCTCCCGAGTAGCTGGGACTACAGGCGCCCACCACCACGCCCGGCTAATTTTTTGTATTTTTAGTAGAGACGGGGTTTCACCATGTTAGTCAGTATGGTCTCAATCTCCTGACCTCGTGATCTGCCTACCTTGGCCTCCCAAAGTACTGGGATTACAGGCGTGAACCACTGTGCCTGGCCTACTTTATTTTTTTGAGGCAGAGTTTCGCTCTGTTGCCCCGGCTGGAGTGTAGTGGTGTGATCTCAGCTCACTGCAGCATCTGCCTCCCGGCTCACTGCAGCGACTCTCCTGCCTCAGCCTCCTGAGCAGCTGGGGTTACAGGCATGTGCCACCATGCACGGCTAATTTTGTATTTTTAGTAGAGATGGGATTTCTCCATGTTGGTCAGGCTGGTCTCGAACTCCTGACCTCAGGTGATCTGCCCACCTCGGCCTCCCAAAGTTCTGGGATTATAGGCGTGAGACACCGTGCCCGGCCCATTTTGATATTTGTTTGATAAACAGAAGTACAAATAAGGAAAATCAAGAAAACATTCAAAGAGAGGTTGCTTAATGAATACCCTTATCCTCATCTGGAAATAACTAGATGTGGCCCTTGGAGCCCAATTCACACAGCTGGAGAATGTTCTAGAATTCTGCCTGGAATTCCCCTGCCTTATGCTGCTGGGAACAGGCTACATAAAACCAGCAGCGTTTTCACAAAACCCACTTTGCCCAAACCCCCAGAATAAAGTCGGATGTTCCTTCAGCCTTGTTCTTTCCCTTCCGATGACGTGAGAGCCGCCAACGTCTTCAGCTCCGAATGTTGTGAGTTGCTGTGGGGCACGGAGCTTCCTGTGCTTCTCCTGGGAGCTGGTCCGGGTTCTGTACACAGGCTCTGCTGTGCCTCTCCCGGGAGCTGCCGTCTGGTCCGGGTTCTGTACACAGGCTCTGCTGTGCCTCTCCCGGGGGCTGCCGTCTGGTCTGGGTTCTTTACACAGGCTCTGGCTGTGCCTCTCCCAGGGGCTGCCGTCTGGTCTGGGTTCTACGTGCAGGTTCTGGCTGGTGGTTGCCGTTCTTGCCCAAACCCCAAGCTCGTGGCCTCATGGTGCAGCCAAAGTCCTGGGCTGCAATGAGCCGTGCGGGGGCCAGAAGGCCCCCAGTCCTTGGTTGGCTTTGGGGTGTTCACCAGGGACACCTCAAGGTGGGAGCTCTGGGCCCAGGTCAGGGGCACCTTTGTGGAGTTTGCTGGCCACACGACCTGGCATGACTGCCTTGGCCCTGGCCCCAGCTCTGAGTGAGGTGCTACCTGCAGCAGGGGCTCCCACCCATTGCAGACACAAGAGCTCCATGTGTAGGGGTCACACGGCAAGTGGGGGTACATCTGGGCTGAGCCAGAGACCACAGGGCATAGGCAGGACCCCCGGGAGTCAGGCTGGCCCAGGACCTCGTCCTTTCAACAAAGACCCTCTCAGAGACCCCCTCACACCTGCCTGAATGTCCCAGGCTCCCCCCACCTGCCCATCCACCCTCCACAGGGTCACGTGGGGTCAGGCAGCCAGCAGGATGGAGCTCTCTAGACCCCTGGGTCCCTGGTCCCAGCCCAAGTCCCCCCACTCCCACCAAGTTCTCCCCCCATCCCTGCAGGGCCTGTCCCATCGGACCCCCTCATGGCAGGGCCCCAGCCCACCCCCCTCAGGCGCTCACCTCAGGGAGCCCAGGTGGCTGCCGTTCAGCTTCAGTTGGTCCAGGTTGGGCAGGTGCACCCCTGTATGGCCACAGGAGGAGGAGGTTGGCCCGGCCCCTCACCCCGCCCACCTCTGCACCCTCCTTCACCCCTAGGCATCAGCACCCCCGGCCCCTCACTGCTCGTGGGCCAGCCTCACAAGCCTCCCTCCACACCACAGGAGGGGTTACGTGGCACCCAGGAACTGCTCCAGGGCTGCGGGCTCCTCTGGCCACCAAAGGGGTCTGCTGATTCTATGGGGCCTGGTAGAGGGTCTGGCTCAGTGGCCCTGAGCCCCCAAAGCCTCACGGCTCCGCGCCCCTCGTCTGTAGCCAGCCTGAATGCAGCACAGCATGGAGGGGTGTCCACACAGCAGGGAAGCTCAGACCATTGTCTATGGACTGCAGGAGGCCACTGGGCTCCAAGAGTTGGCTCAGAGAACTGGGGCCAGGCTGGCGTGGCTGGGTGGTGCTCCCTTGGCTCAAAGTCTGGGCCCCACCCCCAAGCTGCCTCCACACCCCTCCCCTGGCATCTCAGACCGTCATGCACAGTCCCACACACAACACAGGACCAGATCACTGCACGCCCCAGCCTGTGTTTCTGCACAGCCCAAGGCCCCAGGAAAAGGCTCTGCGTTCGGAGTCTTTTGTAGGATGGGGCATATGCCCCTGTGAGGCAGACAGAATCCCTGCATTGTGAGAAGGGTTGCAGAGTGGCTGGGTGCGGTGGCTCACGCCTGTAATCCCAGCACTTTGGGAGGCTGAGGTGGGTGGATCACTAGGTCAGTAGATCGAGACCATCCTGGTTAACACGGTGAAACCCCGTCTCTACTAAAAATACAAAAAATTAGCCGGGTATGGTGGCGGGCGCCTGTAGTCCCAGCTACACGGGAGGCTGAGGCAGGAGAATGGCGTGAACCCGGGAGGTGGAGCTTGCAGTGAGCCGAGATTGCGCCACTGCACTCCAGCCTGGGTGACAGAGCGAGACTCCGTCTCAAAAAAAAAATAAAAGAAGGGGCGCAGAGTGTGTGGGTACAGGCGCTCCAAGACCATGCCTGTGGGAAGGGCTCGAGTGAGTGCAGATGGCTGCGGGTTAGCCACACACAATGGTCAGGGACTTCACAGGCCATTGCAAAACAATACAAGACCAATCAAGATGGGCCTGGTTCACCTCAGTCAGTTGGAGAAATGCAGACAACCAGTGATCCTGGGTGGGAAGACGCTTCCCTGCTCTAAAGGTCACTGTGGGGCCTGGCGTGGTGGCTCACACCTATAATCTCAGCACTTTGGGAGGCCGAGGCGGGTGGATCACCTGAGGTCAGGAGTTCAAGACCAGCCTGGCCAACATGGTGACACCCCATCTGTACTAAAAATACAAAAATTACTCGGGCGTGGTGGCACACACCTGTAATCCCAGCTACTCAGGAGGCTGAGGCAGGAGAATTGCTTGAATTCAAGAGGCTGAGGTTGCAGTGAGCCAAGATTGCACCACTGCACTCCAGCCTGGGCAACAAGAGAGAGACTCTGTCTTAAAAAAAACAACAATGAAAAAAACAAAAAACAGGCCAGGCGCGGTGGCTCATCCCTGTAATCCTGTAATCCCAGCACTTTGGGAGGCTGAGGTGGGTGGATCACTTGAGGTCAGGAGTTCAAGACCAGCCTGGCCAACATGGTGAAACCCCGTCTCTACTAAAAATACAGAAATCAGCTGGGCGTGGTGGTGAGTGCCTGTAATCTCAGCTACTCGGGAGGCTGAGGTAGGAAAATTCAACCTGGGAGGCAGAGGTTGCAGTGAGCTGAGATTGCGCCACTGCACTCCAGCCTGGGCGACAGAATGAGACTCCATCTCAAAAAAAAAAAAGTCACTGTTGGGACAGCTGGTGACATTTGAATATGGTCTTCAGCATGGCTAAGAGTCATGTACAGGTGTAATTCCTGACTTTGGCCATCGCACTGCATTTAAGGGAATGTCCTCCCTCTCAGGAAATACACACTGAAGTGTCAGTAGATAAAGGGGTGTTGCATGTCCAACTCTCAACTAGTTCAGGAAAAAGAACAGTGGCCTGACGCGCTGTGCACGCACGGGAGGGAGCAGGGGCCAGCACCACCGTGAACACGGCGAAAGAGAAGGAACCTGGCGGAGGGCGGGGAGGGAGTGTTTTTTTTTTTTTTTTTTTTTTTGCGACAGGGTTTTGCTCTGTCGCCCAGTCTGGAGTGCAGCGGTGCAATCTCAGCTCACTGCAGCTTGACCTCCCCACCTCCTATGAGTAGCTGTGACTACAGGTGCCATCATGCCTGTCTAATTTTTTATTTTTAGACACAGGGGTCTTGCTATGTTGCCCAAGCTGATCTCAAACTCCTGGGCTCAAGTGATCCATCCACCTTGGACTCCCACGGTGCTGGGATTACAGGCGTGGCCCCTGTGCCTGGCTGAGATTATTTCAAGATGAGTTTCAGGAGACACCAAGTGGCACTCAGCACCATTTTGGCCTTTGTTCCTCTGTGATGCTGGCGTGGGTGTGTGGGGCACTGAGCGTGCCGGGGGTACTGGCGTGGGTGTGTGGGGCACTGAGCGTGCCGGGGGTACTGGCGTGGGTGTGTGGGGCACTGAGCGTGCCGGGGGTACTGGCGTGGGTGTGTGGGGTACTGAGCGTGCCGGGGGTACTGGCGTGGGTGTGTGGGGTACTGAGCGTGCCGGGGGTACTGGCGTGGGTGTGTGGGGTACTGAGCGTGCCGGGGGTACTGGCGTGGGTGTGTGGGGTACTGAGCGTGCCGGGGGTACTGGCGTGGGTGTGTGGGGTACTGAGCGTGCCGGGGGTACTGGCGTGGGTGTGTGGGGTACTGAGCGTGCCGGGGGTACTGGCGTGGGTGTGTGGGGTACTGAGCGTGCTGGGGGTACTGGTGTGGGTGTGTGGGGTACTGAGCGTGCTGGGGGTACTGGTGTGGTGTGCGGGGTGCTGAGTGCATTGCCCTCTGCCTGTACCTGACACAGACCTCAGGTCAGAGGCCAACCCTAAGGAAGCCGATACGCGGCCCGAGAGGTGAGGACAGCTTTGTCGTCATAACCAGGAAACGTGTGTTGTTTACAGGGAGGCGTGGCCGTGGCCGTGGCCATGGCGGGGTGGGAAGAGGCTCACCAAAGTTCCCCAGGCTGCCCTCACGAGTGTCCACACACATCTCCAGCGTCCTCACCAGCCGAAGGTCATCCACCCGGGCCAGGGCCTGCTGTAGAAACCAACCGGGGGTCAGCGCTGGTCCTGGCTCTCCCCACTTTAGTTCCATCCTTGCTTCTGGCTACAGGACTCTGGGGCTCCCGCTGGAGCAGGCACCGACGTTTCCCTGCCTGGGCCATGTTGGCCCTGGCCTGGGTGGTGGGATGGGAGTGGATGTGACAGGAGCAGAGCTTGTGCTGCACTTGGCTGGGGGGTCATTGCGGGAGAAGGACCTGCCCTGGGGGCTGCCCGTCTCCAGAGAGACTCCCAGGGCAGACACACCACACCCGGCACCCAGAGCCCGGACCGCGCCGGGCCCTGCCCTGAGCTTTGAGCCATCTGGTCTCCCGCTTGAGTGAAGGACCCCCCTCTTTGGTTGGAGGATAATGGATGCTCAGCCCCTACTTGTGGGTTCTGGCCTGGCTCAGTCCTGTCTGTGACCCAAATGCCTGGGGACGTCTGTGTCACTGAGCACCTGGTGTTGCTGGTGTTTTGGGGCCTGGTAGGGGTCCCAAGGGCAGAGTGGGTGGAGCAGACCCAGCTGCAGGGGCTGGGCTGAGGCCAACCATCAGCAGGCAAGACCAGCAGGAGGGGGACAGAGGGCAGGCTGGACCATCAGCAGGAAGGAGCCCTGGGATGTCACCCCACGGAGGCCTCTGTGGCCACAGCCCCCAGCGCCCACACTCACCAGCCGGGCAGGGGACAGGTACTCTTCCACCAGCTGCTCTCCAAGTCTGTCCCTCTGACTGCCAGGGCCCTTGCTCTGTGGGCAGGGGTTGTGCAGGCCTTGCCAGCTCAGCTCCCGCACCCGGACGCTGGAGGTGCTCCGCCGAGGCCCACGGGATCTGTCCCAGCCCAGATCCATTCACATGTCACCTGCTGACAGAGGCACAGTGCAAAGCTCCACGCTGTTGCTCCTCCTCCTCTGCAGCCCGGCTGAGACCCTGGCCCAGCCCTCAACCCCCCGCCCCCGTCACAGCAAGCCCTTGGCACCCACCCCCACCCCGAGCCTAGAGAAGGCTCCTAGCTTGGCTGGGCCTCATGGGGCCCTTGTCTGCTTAGTTCCAGCCTGGAGGGCCTCACGCTCCCCTCCCCCAGCCTTGGCTCGACCCCCTCTGCTTCGTAGGACACCCTCCCTGTGTTTCTGCCCATCCTCAGGGTCCATGCAGGGAGTGCTGGCTTCAGGCCTCCCCACCTGAGGCCCACAGGGGCTGTGAGCCTGGGGTGCCGGGCCAGCTGCCGGTGGCTGTGGGGCTCCCGGCACTGCCTCAAGCTGTGGGCTATGGGTCCTTCTCCACCTGATGGTCTCTGAGCCTGGGGTCCAGGATCAAGTCCCAGGCCTTCCCCTACCCCAGCCCTGTGCCAGCCGAGCCCCTTCACCTGCAGGCAGCTGCCCTCTCCTGCTGTGGGTCAAACATCCAGGCAAGGAGGTGGCATGTACCCTCAGGCAGTACCTGCAAGAGTCAGAGTGGCTTCCTGGCCAGGTTACTGTGCCCATGGGAGCCTGGAATGGGCCAGGCTGAGGTCACAGCACCTAGAGGTGAGCAGATCAGCCCAGGACCTGACTATCCACGGACCCAGCTGGCGAGGAGGAAGAGAGTCAGGTGTGTGACCGATGCTGGGGTACCTCTGGGTCCCCCAACACAATGCCTGCTGCTCATCCAAATCCCACTTCCCTCCTTCTCCACAGGGGTCCTCTCTTGCACCCTGTTCTTCCTGAGCCCCTCCCCAGGCCTCTGAGGGTATTGGCCCAGTGTGTCCCTCTCTTGCATCCCATTCTTCCTAAGCCCAGTGTGTCCCTCGACTACGTGCATCAGGCTTACCTGGTGTTGCCCCTTAAAGATGCAGACGTCTGGCGGGGCGCAGTGGCTCACGCCTGTAATCCCAGCACTTTGGGAGGCCGCGGCGGGCAGATCACGAGGTCAGGAGATTGAGACCATCCTGGCTAACACGGTGAAACCCTGTCTCTACTAAAAATACAAAAAAAAAAAAAAAAAAATTAGCTGGCGTGGTGGCAGGTGCCTGTAGTCCCAGCTACTTGGGAGGCTGAGGCAGGAGAATGCCATGAACCCGCGAGGCGGAGCTTGCAGTGAGACAAGATCGCGCCACTGTCCTCCAGCCTGGGCAACAGAGCAAGACTCTGTCTCAAAAAAAAAAAAAAAAAAGGCTGGGTGCGGTGGCTCACACCTGTAATCCCAGCACTTTGGGAGGCTGAGGCGGGCAGATCACAAGATCAGGAGATCAAGACCATCCTGGCTAACGAGGTGAAACCCCATCTCTACTAAAGATACAAAAAACATAGTTAGCCAGGCGTGGTGGCGGACGCCTGTAGTCCCAGCTACTTGGGAGGCTGAGGCTGGGGAATGGCATGAACCCAGGAGGTGGAGCTTGCAGTGAGCCAAGATGGCACCACTGCACTCCAGCCTGGGCGACAGAGAGAGACTCCATCTCAAAAAACAAACAAACAAACAAAGATGCAGACATCTGCCTCGGCCCCAGGCCCTGGAATCATGAGCTCCAGGCGTGGAGTGACAAGTGTGCTCGGAGCGTCCAGTGTCCTCCTCCCTGACCACCTTCATGTGTCTTCAGTCTGGACCTGGACTGATCCCCTGACTGCACTCCCCACCCAGCCTTCCCAGATTTATCTTCCTGATGAGACGAGTTCCCTTCGGAGCCCTGTGTGTCTTACTACGTGTTCGGTTGAGGGCCTGCCTCGCCCCAGAGCTGTGGGCTGCACGTGGCCTGCACGTGGCCTGCGTGCTCCTCTGCTGTCCACAGTCGCAGGAGGGGATGCTCAAATATTTGTCGAAGGAATCCGTGAACAGGCAGATGCACATGTAGCCACTTAGAACGTTCTGGCCATGGCTTTTATCTGTTGACCACGTGTGGACACTGAAGATGCATCCTCTCCATCCCGTCTAGAGCTGCCCCTGTGCCAGGCGAGTTGGCCGGCTGTTGACAGAGGTGGTGGGTGGGAGTGTTGGAGCGGGGCAGTGGCTCAGGCTCTGGGTGCCTCACTGGCCTGGTCTGGAAGGTGACCATGCACCAAGGATCAAAGAAGTGAAGCCCAAAGCAGAATCTCATGGAGTTTCCAGCCCAAATCTCCCCCACTGCCTGCCTTTCTCCAGCCAGTGCAAGGCCCCAGGCCTCACAGCAGGACCCCAACACTGCATCCCCCCAAAGACTCTGGCCACCTCCATCCCAGGCCTGCCAGCCTCGAGCCTCATGGAGGGCGTGAGCTGGCGGGGTCACGGGCAGCCCCTGGACACCTATGGGTGACACTAAGGGCTGAGTCAGCTACCCTTGTCTCCTCTGTGCCCAAGAGCCCCAAGCATCAGACTGGTCTGAGCCCCAAGGCCTGGGGGTGCAAGGGGTTGGAGGCTGTGGGATCCAAAGACCCCATTGAACTCCCACCTCAGACACTGCACCTAGTGTTCTCACCCAGGCCTGAACCCATCCACACACTTCACGGCCCTGCTCCCACCCTGTGTCCCCTCTGCAAGCCCCCATGCTCCCCAAATTGGTAACTGGGGGGCCTGTCTCCACACCCCTGCTAGTGCCATTCCCTGGTGGGTAGCCATCACCTCTGGGTCCCCTGCTGCCCTCGCCCCTTCACCATGGGGGCTCGGAAGGCAGAGCCCGCTCCCCTCCTGAGCCCCACCCTGGAACCCTGAGCACCCTGGGTCATTGCCTCTGAGTCTCCCTCAGGGGCAGGGCTTGGGGCCCCTCCTGTCTCCTGACAGGGAGCCCTTTCAGTGCAGGGCCAGGGGGTGGTGGAGGCAAGGGTCCTCAGGGGACCAGATCTGACATGCGGGGCCATCACTGGGTCCCCGATGGCTGTGCTGCTTCGTCCCCGCGCCCACGCCTCGGCGCAGGTTCCCTCCTGGCACCGGTCATAGGGCGAGGCTTGCGGCTCCCACCCCAAGGGTGCGCTCGGCTCTCACCTGAGGGCTCAGCCTAGGTGTCCGGCCCTGGCAGCTCGGCCCTGGGCGCCCTCCACCTCCAGGCGCTGTCTCCTACTCCAGGCTGTTCTTCCGGCCGCCGCGGGGTTGCGGCCTGGGCGCCATAGCAACGGGAGCCAGGCCTCATTTGAATACGCAAATATTTATAAGTCGCCGGGGGCTCGGGTTCCGTGCGGCTGAGCCACGCCCCTTAGCAACGGTCGCTAGGGCGGGGCCACGTGGACTGGCACGTGCGTGGGCGCCCCTGCTGCGGGCGATCCCAGGGGAAGGTGACGCGCCACCAACTCGAGTTGGGTGGGCGCAGGCGCGTCAGGTGCCAGCTTCCTGCGGCTCCGTGCCTGGGCCGTCGCGATGCACGTGTCGCGTTTCCTCGCGATCCTGGCGCTTCCCACGCGGGGCGGGTAAAGGCGGTCTCTGCTGGAGGCTCGCGCCCACCTTTCCCAGGTGGAAGGGTCGCCCCTGGGGCCGAGGCCTGCCGTCCTGACCTTCGGTTGGAAGTGAGGCCGACGGCAAAAGGAAGCACCGGGGGAAGCGCCCCCGAGGACCAGGAAACACACACCGGACGCCGGAGCGCACCCGAGTGCCCGGCCCGCGGGACACGCTGCCGCCCGCCGTCCAGTCGCCGCTTCTCACTCGCGTTCATGCGTGTCCGCCCCGAGCCGAGCTCTGACTGCGACCGCGCGGTGGACGGACGGCAGGCGGGACCCCCGGGACCGCACGTGGGTGGAGCCCCGGGTCAGCAGCGACCGGCGCAGGAGGGCGAGGCGGGCGCTGGACTGGGCAGAGGCAGGGTTTGCCTGACTGTAAAACGCCTTTTTTGTTTTGAGACGAAGTAGCGCTCTGTTGCCCAGTGCAGTGGCGCGATTTCGGCTCACCGCAACATCCGCCTCCCGGGTTCCAGCGATTCTCCTGCCTCAGCCTCCCGAGTAGCTGGGACTACAGGCGCGCGCCACTGCAGCCGACTAATTTTTTGTGTTTTTAGTAGAGACAGGGTTTCATCATGTTGGCCAGGCTGGTCTTGAACTCCTGACCTCAAGTAATCCACCCGCTTAGGCCTCCCGAAGTGCTGGGATTATAGGCGTGAGCCACCGCGCCCGGCCCTTTTTGTTTTTTAATGAGGATGTATTTCTGATTCCTTTGCAATTTTAAAAAATGTTAAAAACATGTCTTTTTGGGTTTGAAAGAGCTAGGATGTGCGTCTATGTGCTTGGGGTGAGCCCTGGGCACTTCGCTCCCCTGTGGCAACTTGTGGGTACGGTTTAACTGGACCACGCTGAGCTTCTGCAGCGTTGGAACCTCAAGTTTGGGGGGACTGGGCGGGCAGGGTCGCCTGCCACGCAGGCCCGAGAAAGAGGAGAGTGGTGGAGGGGGCGTTCTCACGCCTGGCCCCAGGGCACACGGCTGCGCCCGCCGCCCGGAACCCCACCGGGGCTGCAAGCGTCCTCGGGGTGGGTTGCGGTGGGAGTAGGGGAGCTGGGGTGCGTGGTGGTAGGTGGGGTGCGCGGCCGCTCCACCTGCGCGGAAGGGCAGCCGGGCAACCGGACCCCGCGGCCACCCGGGGGCCCCCAGCTCCGAGCATCCCGCCTTGGTCCCGGCGGATCCCAGCCTTTCCCCAGCCCGTAGCCCCGGGACCTCCGCGGTGGGCGGCGCCGCGCTGCCGGCGCAGGGAGGGCCTCTGGTGCACCGGCACCGCTGAGTCGGGTTCTCTCGCCGGCCTGTTCCCGGGAGAGCCCGGGGCCCTGCTCGGAGATGCCGCCCCGGGCCCCCAGACACCGGCTCCCTGGCCTTCCTCGAGCAACCCCGAGCTCGGCTCCGGTCTCCAGCCAAGCCCAACCCCGAGAGGCCGCGGCCCTACTGGCTCCGCCTCCCGCGTTGCTCCCGGAAGCCCCGCCCGACCGCGGCTCCTGACAGACGGGCCGCTCAGCCAACCGGGGTGGGGCGGGGCCCGATGGCGCGCAGCCAATGGTAGGCCGCGCCTGGCAGACGGACGGGCGCGGGGCGGGGCGTGCGCAGGCCCGCCCGAGTCTCCGCCGCCCGTGCCCTGCGCCCGCAACCCGAGCCGCACCCGCCGCGGACGGAGCCCATGCGCGGGGCGAACCGCGCGCCCCCGCCCCCGCCCCGCCCCGGCCTCGGCCCCGGCCCTGGCCCCGGGGGCAGTCGCGCCTGTGAACGGTGAGTGCGGGCAGGGATCGGCCGGGCCGCGCGCCCTCCTCGCCCCCAGGCGGCAGCAATACGCGCGGCGCGGGCCGGGGGCGCGGGGCCGGCGGGCGTAAGCGGCGGCGGCGGCGGCGGCGGCGGGTGGGTGGGGCCGGGCGGGGCCCGCGGGCACAGGTGAGCGGGCGTCGGGGGCTGCGGCGGGCGGGGGCCCCTTCCTCCCTGGGGCCTGCGGGAATCCGGGCCCCACCCGTGGCCTCGCGCTGGGCACGGTCCCCACGCCGGCGTACCCGGGAGCCTCGGGCCCGGCGCCCTCACACCCGGGGGCGTCTGGGAGGAGGCGGCCGCGGCCACGGCACGCCCGGGCACCCCCGATTCAGCATCACAGGTCGCGGACCAGGCCGGGGGCCTCAGCCCCAGTGCCTTTTCCCTCTCCGGGTCTCCCGCGCCGCTTCTCGGCCCCTTCCTGTCGCTCAGTCCCTGCTTCCCAGGAGCTCCTCTGTCTTCTCCAGCTTTCTGTGGCTGAAAGATGCCCCCGGTTCCCCGCCGGGGGTGCGGGGCGCTGCCCGGGTCTGCCCTCCCCTCGGCGGCGCCTAGTACGCAGTAGGCGCTCAGCAAATACTTGTCGGAGGCACCAGCGCCGCGGGGCCTGCAGGCTGGCACTAGCCTGCCCGGGCACGCCGTGGCGCGCTCCGCCGTGGCCAGACCTGTTCTGGAGGACGGTAACCTCAGCCCTCGGGCGCCTCCCTTTAGCCTTTCTGCCGACCCAGCAGCTTCTAATTTGGGTGCGTGGTTGAGAGCGCTCAGCTGTCAGCCCTGCCTTTGAGGGCTGGGTCCCTTTTCCCATCACTGGGTCATTAAGAGCAAGTGGGGGCGAGGCGACAGCCCTCCCGCACGCTGGGTTGCAGCTGCACAGGTAGGCACGCTGCAGTCCTTGCTGCCTGGCGTTGGGGCCCAGGGACCGCTGTGGGTTTGCCCTTCAGATGGCCCTGCCAGCAGCTGCCCTGTGGGGCCTGGGGCTGGGCCTGGGCCTGGCTGAGCAGGGCCCTCCTTGGCAGGTGGGGCAGGAGACCCTGTAGGAGGACCCCGGGCCGCAGGCCCCTGAGGAGCGATGACGGAATATAAGCTGGTGGTGGTGGGCGCCGGCGGTGTGGGCAAGAGTGCGCTGACCATCCAGCTGATCCAGAACCATTTTGTGGACGAATACGACCCCACTATAGAGGTGAGCCTGGCGCCGCCGTCCAGGTGCCAGCAGCTGCTGCGGGCGAGCCCAGGACACAGCCAGGATAGGGCTGGCTGCAGCCCCTGGTCCCCTGCATGGTGCTGTGGCCCTGTCTCCTGCTTCCTCTAGAGGAGGGGAGTCCCTCGTCTCAGCACCCCAGGAGAGGAGGGGGCATGAGGGGCATGAGAGGTACCAGGGAGAGGCTGGCTGTGTGAACTCCCCCCACGGAAGGTCCTGAGGGGGTCCCTGAGCCCTGTCCTCCTGCAGGATTCCTACCGGAAGCAGGTGGTCATTGATGGGGAGACGTGCCTGTTGGACATCCTGGATACCGCCGGCCAGGAGGAGTACAGCGCCATGCGGGACCAGTACATGCGCACCGGGGAGGGCTTCCTGTGTGTGTTTGCCATCAACAACACCAAGTCTTTTGAGGACATCCACCAGTACAGGTGAACCCCGTGAGGCTGGCCCGGGAGCCCACGCCGCACAGGTGGGGCCAGGCCGGCTGCGTCCAGGCAGGGGCCTCCTGTCCTCTCTGCGCATGTCCTGGATGCCGCTGCGCCTGCAGCCCCCGTAGCCAGCTCTCGCTTTCCACCTCTCAGGGAGCAGATCAAACGGGTGAAGGACTCGGATGACGTGCCCATGGTGCTGGTGGGGAACAAGTGTGACCTGGCTGCACGCACTGTGGAATCTCGGCAGGCTCAGGACCTCGCCCGAAGCTACGGCATCCCCTACATCGAGACCTCGGCCAAGACCCGGCAGGTGAGGCAGCTCTCCACCCCACAGCTAGCCAGGGACCCGCCCCGCCCCGCCCCAGCCAGGGAGCAGCACTCACTGACCCTCTCCCTTGACACAGGGCAGCCGCTCTGGCTCTAGCTCCAGCTCCGGGACCCTCTGGGACCCCCCGGGACCCATGTGACCCAGCGGCCCCTCGCGCTGTAAGTCTCCCGGGACGGCAGGGCAGTGAGGGAGGCGAGGGCCGGGGTCTGGGCTCACGCCCTGCAGTCCTGGGCCGACACAGCTCCGGGGAAGGCGGAGGTCCTTGGGGAGAGCTGCC
Source organism: Homo sapiens (assembly GCF_000001405.40). NCBI lineage: Eukaryota > Metazoa > Chordata > Mammalia > Primates > Hominidae > Homo > Homo sapiens. Next base: position 62,798 of record NT_187586.1, on the reverse strand, counting down.
CTGAGCCAGGCCGGAGCGGTGACCCTGGGGCCCGGCCCCTCTTGTCCCCAGAGTGTCCCACGGGCACCTGTTGGTTCTGAGTCTTAGTGGGGCTACTGGGGACACGGGCCGTAGCTGAGTCGAGAGCTGGGTGCAGGGTGGTCAAACCCTGGCCAGACCTGGAGTTCAGGAGGGCCCCGGGCCACCCTGACCTTTGAGGGGCTGCTGTAGCATGATGCGGGTGGCCCTGGGCACTTCGAGATGGCCAGAGTCCAGCTTCCCGTGTGTGTGGTGGGCCTGGGGAAGTGGCTGGTGGAGTCGGGAGCTTCGGGCCAGGCAAGGCTTGATCCCACAGCAGGGAGCCCCTCACCCAGGCAGGCGGCCACAGGCCGGTCCCTCCTGATCCCATCCCTCCTTTCCCAGGGAGTGGAGGATGCCTTCTACACGTTGGTGCGTGAGATCCGGCAGCACAAGCTGCGGAAGCTGAACCCTCCTGATGAGAGTGGCCCCGGCTGCATGAGCTGCAAGTGTGTGCTCTCCTGACGCAGGTGAGGGGGACTCCCAGGGCGGCCGCCACGCCCACCGGATGACCCCGGCTCCCCGCCCCTGCCGGTCTCCTGGCCTGCGGTCAGCAGCCTCCCTTGTGCCCCGCCCAGCACAAGCTCAGGACATGGAGGTGCCGGATGCAGGAAGGAGGTGCAGACGGAAGGAGGAGGAAGGAAGGACGGAAGCAAGGAAGGAAGGAAGGGCTGCTGGAGCCCAGTCACCCCGGGACCGTGGGCCGAGGTGACTGCAGACCCTCCCAGGGAGGCTGTGCACAGACTGTCTTGAACATCCCAAATGCCACCGGAACCCCAGCCCTTAGCTCCCCTCCCAGGCCTCTGTGGGCCCTTGTCGGGCACAGATGGGATCACAGTAAATTATTGGATGGTCTTGATCTTGGTTTTCGGCTGAGGGTGGGACACGGTGCGCGTGTGGCCTGGCATGAGGTATGTCGGAACCTCAGGCCTGTCCAGCCCTGGGCTCTCCATAGCCTTTGGGAGGGGGAGGTTGGGAGAGGCCGGTCAGGGGTCTGGGCTGTGGTGCTCTCTCCTCCCGCCTGCCCCAGTGTCCACGGCTTCTGGCAGAGAGCTCTGGACAAGCAGGCAGATCATAAGGACAGAGAGCTTACTGTGCTTCTACCAACTAGGAGGGCGTCCTGGTCCTCCAGAGGGAGGTGGTTTCAGGGGTTGGGGATCTGTGCCGGTGGCTCTGGTCTCTGCTGGGAGCCTTCTTGGCGGTGAGAGGCATCACCTTTCCTGACTTGCTCCCAGCGTGAAATGCACCTGCCAAGAATGGCAGACATAGGGACCCCGCCTCCTGGGCCTTCACATGCCCAGTTTTCTTCGGCTCTGTGGCCTGAAGCGGTCTGTGGACCTTGGAAGTAGGGCTCCAGCACCGACTGGCCTCAGGCCTCTGCCTCATTGGTGGTCGGGTAGCGGCCAGTAGGGCGTGGGAGCCTGGCCATCCCTGCCTCCTGGAGTGGACGAGGTTGGCAGCTGGTCCGTCTGCTCCTGCCCCACTCTCCCCCGCCCCTGCCCTCACCCTACCCTTGCCCCACGCCTGCCTCATGGCTGGTTGCTCTTGGAGCCTGGTAGTGTCACTGGCTCAGCCTTGCTGGGTATACACAGGCTCTGCCACCCACTCTGCTCCAAGGGGCTTGCCCTGCCTTGGGCCAAGTTCTAGGTCTGGCCACAGCCACAGACAGCTCAGTCCCCTGTGTGGTCATCCTGGCTTCTGCTGGGGGCCCACAGCGCCCCTGGTGCCCCTCCCCTCCCAGGGCCCGGGTTGAGGCTGGGCCAGGCCCCTCTGGGACGGGGACTTGTGCCCTGTCAGGGTTCCCTATCCCTGAGGTTGGGGGAGAGCTAGCAGGGCATGCCGCTGGCTGGCCAGGGCTGCAGGGACACTCCCCCTTTTGTCCAGGGAATACCACACTCGCCCTTCTCTCCAGCGAACACCACACTCGCCCTTCTCTCCAGGGGACGCCACACTCCCCCTTCTGTCCAGGGGACGCCACACTCCCCCTTCTCTCCAGGGGACGCCACACTCGCCCTTCTCTCCAGGGGACGCCACACTCGCCCTTCTCTCCAGGGGACGCCACACTCCCCCTTCTGTCCAGGGGACGCCACACTCGCCCTTCTCTCCAGGGGACGCCACACTGGCCCTTCTCTCCAGGGGACGCCACACTCCCCCTTCTGTCCAGGGGACGCCACACTCCCCCTTCTCTCCAGGGGACGCCACACTCCCCCTTCTCTCCAGGGGACGCCACACTGGCCCTTCTCTCCAGGGGACGCCACACTCCCCCTTCTGTCCAGGGGACGCCACACTCGCCCTTCTCTCCAGGGGACGCCACACTCGCCCTTCTCTCCAGGGGACGCCACACTCCCCCTTCTCTCCAGGGGACGCCACACTCCCCCTTCTCTCCAGGGGACGCCACACTCCCCCTTCTCTCCAGGGGACGCCACACTCCCCCTTCTGTCCAGGGGACGCCACACTCGCCCTTCTCTCCAGGGGACGCCACACTCCCCCTTCTCTCCAGGGGACGCCACACTCCCCCTTCTCTCCAGGGGACGCCACACTCCCCCTTCTGTCCAGGGGACGCCACACTCGCCCTTCTCTCCAGGGGACGCCACACTCGCCCTTCTCTCCAGGGGACGCCACACTCGCCCTTCTCTCCAGGGGACGCCACACTTGCCCTTCTGTCCAGGGAATGCCACACTCCCCCTTCTCCCCAGCAGCCTCCGAGTGACCAGCTTCCCCATCGATAGACTTCCCGAGGCCAGGAGCCCTCTAGGGCTGCCGGGTGCCACCCTGGCTCCTTCCACACCGTGCTGGTCACTGCCTGCTGGGGGCGTCAGATGCAGGTGACCCTGTGCAGGAGGTATCTCTGGACCTGCCTCTTGGTCATTACGGGGCTGGGCAGGGCCTGGTATCAGGGCCCCGCTGGGGTTGCAGGGCTGGGCCTGTGCTGTGGTCCTGGGGTGTCCAGGACAGACGTGGAGGGGTCAGGGCCCAGCACCCCTGCTCCATGCTGAACTGTGGGAAGCATCCAGGTCCCTGGGTGGCTTCAACAGGAGTTCCAGCACGGGAACCACTGGACAACCTGGGGTGTGTCCTGATCTGGGGACAGGCCAGCCACACCCCGAGTCCTAGGGACTCCAGAGAGCAGCCCACTGCCCTGGGCTCCACGGAAGCCCCCTCATGCCGCTAGGCCTTGGCCTCGGGGACAGCCCAGCTAGGCCAGTGTGTGGCAGGACCAGGCCCCCATGTGGGAGCTGACCCCTTGGGATTCTGGAGCTGTGCTGATGGGCAGGGGAGAGCCAGCTCCTCCCCTTGAGGGAGGGTCTTGATGCCTGGGGTTACCCGCAGAGGCCTGGGTGCCGGGACGCTCCCCGGTTTGGCTGAAAGGAAAGCAGATGTGGTCAGCTTCTCCACTGAGCCCATCTGGTCTTCCCGGGGCTGGGCCCCATAGATCTGGGTCCCTGTGTGGCCCCCCTGGTCTGATGCCGAGGATACCCCTGCAAACTGCCAATCCCAGAGGACAAGACTGGGAAGTCCCTGCAGGGAGAGCCCATCCCCGCACCCTGACCCACAAGAGGGACTCCTGCTGCCCACCAGGCATCCCTCCAGGGATCCCTCATTGTCCACAACTGCTGGAGAACAGAGGGCTCCGTGTCTGGCTGTCCCACAGTGAGCAGCAGTGAGCGCATCTGAAGTCTGAGCTGCTGAGACCCCCTCCTGCAGGAACCCATCTTCTGGCAAAAACCTGAACTGAGGATCACCCTCTGCCCACACCCACAGGGGCCCATCCTGGTGGCTCCTCCAGTGCCAGGCTCTGCCCCATCAGGGTCTGGGGTCTCAGCCAGATTTGTGTCCAGGGCAGGGAGGCTGCAGAGGTTAGGTTGGGTCCAGCACAGGACAGGGCTGGAGAGCACAGCCAAGGAAGGTCGGGTCCGTCTCCTCCCCTCTGACCTCGGACGTCTCGCCTGTCAAATGGCGTGAGTTCGTATCCACCCCACGGGGTCGCCGTGAGGTGAACGAGACAGTCATTTTCATAGTCCGTGTGGAACAGGCACCCGCTGAGTGCTCAGGGATGGCCCTTGGCAGCCACGTGGAGGCCAGCGCAGGCCACCTGTTAGTGACTGTCACCATACCATGGGGGAGGGCAGCTGTGTTGAGACCCACCTCTCACCTCCGGACGCAGAGCCCCCCCTCGGACACCCACTGTGTCTCCAACTGCTCCGCACACAGCCGGCACTTGGCACCGGTGACGTCATGGGGTGGCTGCACACATCACAATAGGGCCCCGCGCAGGTCAGCTGGGCCTGGAGTCAGCGTCCTCCACCCCCTGAACTGGCAGCATGTGTGTGCACGTGTATGTGGGTGAACGTGTGCGTGTGTGTGTTTCTTCTCCAGCTAGGCCTGGCTGCCCCACTAACGTGCACACAGGTCCTTGTCACTGTCACCCCCGTGGCTCGAGACGATCGTCAGAGCACCCGCGGAGGCACCACACTCGGCCCTCTCCACCCGGGGTGGTCCTGGGGATGCAGACGCGGGGAGGGGGTTGGCCCCCTTCCTCGGTGGACTCAGGTCTTCTGTAAAGGGCTGGGTTCAGTGTCCCTCTGTCTCACCTTCTTGAGCCCTGCTGGGTGTCATGAATGTCCCCCCTTGCTGGAGGCCCTGCGGACAAGCCCCCCTGCCTGAGGTCCCCTAGCAGCCAGCTGACCAGGTCCCACTGATTGACAGGCCCTGCTGGGCTGCCGAGGGGGTGGAGGAAGCCTGTGGGGAGGTGGGGGACTCACCTGTGTGACGTCAGCTTCTGTCCCGGGCGCCGCCTGCCCGTCGGATCACATCCCTGCTCAGGACTCGCCACCAGCTGCCTCCTTACGATGGAGTGATGGAGCCCTCTGATAGCTGAGAGTCCGCCACAGCGATCCCACAAGGCCACGCGTAAACTCTCCCAACATCCATCCAGGGAGGCCTGGATAAAAATGTAGAGTTTCAGGCCGGGCACGGTGGCTCAAGCCTGTAATCCCAGCACTTTGGGAGGCTGAGGCGGGTGGATCACCTGAGGTCAGGAGTTCAAGACCAGCCTGGCCAACACGGTGAAACCCTGTTTCTATTAAAAATACAAAAATTGGCCGGGTGCGGTGGCTCACGCCTGTAATCCCAGCCCTTGGGAGGCCGAGGCGGGCGGATCACCTGAGGTCAGGAGTTCGGGACTAGCCTGACCGACATGGAGAAACCCTGTCTCTACTAAAAAAATACAAAATTAGCCGGGTGTGGTGGTGGATGACTGTAATCCCAGCTACTTGGGAGGCTGAGGCAGGAGAATCGATTGAACCCAGTGGGTGGAGGTTGCGGTGAGCCGAGATCGCGGAATTGCACTCCAGCCTGGGCAACAAGAGCGAAACTCTGTCTCAAAAAAAAAAAAAAAAAAATTAGCCGGGCGTGGTGGCGGGCGCCTGTAATCCCAGCTACTCGGGAGGCTGAGGCAGGAGAATGGCGTGAACCTGGGAGGCAGAGCTTGCAGTGAGCCAAGATAGCGCCACTGCACTCCAGCCTGGGGGACAGAGCAAGACTCCGTCTCAAAAAAACCAAAACTAAACAAAACCCTTACCCTATCGTTTTGCCAAGTGCATGACTCTCTGCTGTGAGGCAGTCAAACTCAGAAGCAGAAAGTAGGGTGGCCGTGGGCAGGGGCTGGGGAGGGGAGCTGGGAGTTGCTGTTCAACTGATAACAGATTTCAGTCTGGGAAGATGCGTGAGTCCCAGAGTTCACTGCGCAAGGTGCTCGTGGTTAGCACAGTGCCACACGGCACGTTGCAAATTTTTTTTTTTGAGATGGAGTCTTGATGTTGGCCAGGCTGGCATGCAGTGGCGCGATCTCAGCTCACTGCAACCTCTACCTCCTGGGTTCAAGTGATTCTCCTGCCTCAGCCTCCTGAGTAGCTGGGATTACAGGTGCCCGCCACCACACCCGGCTAATTTTTTTGTATTTTTGTAGAGACGGGGTTTCACCGTGTTAGCCAGGATGGTCTGGAGCTCCTGACCTCATGATCTGCCCGCCTCGGCCTCCCAAAGTGCTGGGATTACAGGCGTGAGCCACCGCACCTGGCCAGTCCCAAAATTTCTAACATTAGAAGATTGGTGTGTGTGCCTGTGCATTTTTGCTGAACAATATTTCTTTTTTTTTCTTTTTTTAGACGGTGTCTCGCTCTGTCGCCCAGGCTGGAGTGCAGTGGCGTGATCTTGGCTCACTGCAACCTCCGCCTCCCAGGTTCAAGCAATTCTCCTGTCTCAGCCTCCCCAGTAGCTGGGACTACTGGTGCCCACCACCATGCCTGGCTAATTTTTGTATTTTTAGTAGAGACGGGGTTTTGCCATGTTGGCCAGGCTGGTCTCCAACTCCTGACCTCAGGTGATCCACCCACCTGGGCCTCCCAAAGTGCTGGGATTACAGGCATGAGCCACCGTGCCCGGCCACTGAGCAGTATTTCTTTGTAGGGATGTAGCACAGGTTGTTCACCTGCTAAAGAATATTTAGTTTGCTGCCAGATCTTGCCTGTTACGACTGGAGCCTCCTCCATAGGCATTTGTGTACCGTGCCCCCCGAGGACGTAGACTTTCAGTTTGTTAGGGGAGACACTGGGGGCGGGGTTGCTGGGTCCTGTGGTATGTGCCTGACTCTGCACCTGACTGTCCAGCGTGCCGGGCCCCTTGCCTTCTCAGCCGGGATGCATCGGAGTCCTGTCGCCCGTGATTTTCATCTTGGGCGTGTTGCGGGATCTCGTTATGGTTTCAGTTTGCAGTTGGCTGGTGGCCACAGCCTGGACGTCTCCTTAGCGCTGTGTGCCTGCTGCAGGTCCCCTTTGCTGAAGTTTTTGTTCAAGTCTTCATCTTATTTTTAGTTTTGTTTTTATTTTATTACTTTTGAGACGGAGTCTCACTGTCGCCCAGGCTGGAGTGCAGTGGTGCGATCTTGGCTCACTGTAGCCTCCGCCTCACAGTTTCAAGCGATTCTCCTGCCTCAGCCTCCCGAGTAGCTGGGACTACAGGCACCTGCCACCACGCCCGGCTAATTTTTTATACTTTTAGTAGAGACACGGTTTCACCAGGTTGCCCATACTGGTCTTGAACTCCTGACCTCAGGTGATCTGCCTGCCTTGGCCTCCCAAAGGGAAGGATCATGCCGGGATTATAGGTGTGAGCCACCGCGCCTGGCCTATTTATTTATTTGTTGGAGACAGGGTCTGGCTCTGTCCCCCAGGCTGGAGTGTGGTGTGATGGTAGCTCACTGCAGCCTCAACCTGCCTGGCTTAAGTGATCCTTCTGCTTCAGTCTCCCGAGTAGCTAGGACTACAGGCGTGCACCAGCATGCCTGGCTAAATGCTTTTTTAATTTTTCGTACAGACCAGGTCTCACTATGTTGGCCAGGCTGGTCTCAAACTCCTGGCCTCAAGTGATCCTTCTGCCTCAGCCTCTCTAAGTATTCGGATTACAGGCATGAGCCACTTCACCCAGCCCTTTGTTCATTTTGGAAACTGGTTTTTTAATTTGGTTATGTTTTTGAGATTTTTTTTTTTTTCTTTGAGACAGGGTCTCACTCTGTCACCTCTGTCACCCAGGCTGGAGTGCAGTGGCGCGATCTCGGCTCACTGCAAGCTCCGCCTACTGGGTTCACGCCATTCTCCTGCCTCAGCCTCCCGAGTAGCTGGGACTACAGGCGGCCGCCACCACGGCCGGCTAATTTTTTGTGTTTTTAGTAGAGATGGGGCTTCACCGTGTTAGCCAGGATGGTCTCGATCTCCTGACCTCGTGATCCGCCCGCCTTGGCCTCCCAAAGTGCTGGGATTACAGGCGTGAGCCACCGTGCCTGGCCTGATTTTTGTATTTTTAGTAGAGACAGGGTTTCACCATGTTGGCCAGGCTGGTCTCAAACTCCCGACCTCAGGTGATCTGCCCGCCTCGGCCTCCCAAAGTGCTGGGATTACAGGTGTGACCCACCGCGCCCGGCCCCAAGTTGTCTATTTTTTTTTTTTTTTGAGACGGAGTCTTGCTTTGTCTCCAGGCTGGAGTGCAGCGGTGAGATCTTGGCTCACTGCAACCTCCACCTCCTGGGTTCAAGTGATTACCTTGCCTCAGCCTCCTGAGTAGCTGGGACTACAGGCAGGCACCACCACGCCCAGCTAATTTTTGTTTTTGTATTTTAGTAGAGATAGGGTTTCACCATGTCGGCCAGGATGGTCCTGATCTCCTGACCTCATGATTCACCCGCCTCGGCCTCCCAAAGTGCTGGGATTACAGGCATGAGCCACTATGCCCCACCAGTTTTTATATTTTATACTTATACAAGATTGTCTCAAAATGGATCATAGGTCTAAGTTATGACGTTTAGGTCAAGATTCATTTTTCTGCATAAGAATGCCCAGTTGTTCCCACACTGCTTGTTGAAAAGATTTTCCTTTCTCTTTTTTATTTTATTTTAATTAATTAATTTATTTTTTTGAGACAGAGTTTCACTCTTTTTGCCCAGGCTGGAGTGCAATGGTGCAATCTCGGCTTACTACAACCTCCGCCTCCCGGGTTCAAGCGATTCTCCTGCCTCAGCCTCCCGAGTAGCTGTGATTACAGGCACCTGCGACCATGCCTGACTAATTTTGTATTTTTAGTAGAGACGGGGTTTCTCGATGTTGGTCAGGCTGATCTTGAACTCCCGACCTCAGGTGAACCACCCGCCTCAGCCTCCCAAAGTGCTGGGATTACAGGTGTGAGCCACCGCGCCCGGCCAGATCTTCCTTTCTCTACTGAATTGCTTGTGTACCTTGGTCAATAATCCATGAGCCATATTTGTGTGCGTCCGTTTCTGGGATCTCCATCGTCTTCCCTCGGTGTGTGTCTGCCCCTTCTCCAACACCAAGCTGGCCTCACGCTGTCACTCCACAGTCAGTGTAACGTTGGGTTATGTGAGTCTTCTTTCATTTTTCCACGTGTGGTGCATTTAGAATCAGTTTGTCTAAATCTACAGAAAGTCCTGCTGGGATTTTGATTGGAATTGCAATGAATCCATAGATCAATTACCGAGAACCGATACCTGTATGATAGTATGTCTGCATGTAAGAATGTGGTATGTCTCTCCATTTATTTAGGTCTTTAAATTTTTTTCTTCAGATCTTGTAGTTTTCTTTTTATTTTGTTTATTATTCTTTTTTGAGACAGGATCTTGCTCTGTCACGCAGGCTGGAGTGCAGTGGCACAATCTCGGCTCACTGCAACCTCTGCCTCCCAGGTTCAAGTGTTTCTTCTGCCTTAGCCTCCTGAGTAGCTGGGACTACAGGCGTGCGCCACCACACCCGGCTAATTTTTGTATTTTTACGGACAGGATTTCACCATATTGGCCAGGCTGGTCTTGAACTCCTGATCTCATGATCCACCTGCCTGGGCCTCCCAAAGTGCTGGAATTATAGGCGTGAGCCACCGCGCCCGGCCCCCCAACCCCGGCTTTTTTTTTTTTAGATGGAGTCTCTGTTGCCCAGGCTGGAGTGCAGTGGCGCAATCTTGGGTCATTGCAACCTCCACCTCCAGGGTTCAAGCGATTCTCCTGCATCAGCCTCCTGAGTAGCTGGGATTATGGGTGCCCACCACCACACGTGGCTAATTTTTGTATTTGTAGTAGACATGGGGTTTCACCATGTTGGTCAGGCTGGTCTCAAACTCCTGACTTCATGATCTGCCTGCCTCAGCCTCCCAAAGTGCTGGGATTACAGGCATGAGCCACCACGCCCGGCCCCCAGATTGCTTTTTAAAACTATATATTGCTGGGCGAGGTGGCTCATGCTGTAATCCCGCCTTTGAGACCAAAGCGAGCGAATCACCTGAGTTCGGGAGTTCGAGACCAGCATGACCAACGTGGTGAAACTCTGCCTCTACTAAAAATACAAAAATTAGCCAGGCATGGTGGTGCGTGCCTGTAATCCCAGCCACTCAGGAGGCTGGGGAGGGAGAATCGCTTGAACCTGGGAGGTGGAGGCTGCAGTGAGCAGAGATGGCGCCATTGCACTCCAGCCTGGGTGATATAGCGAGGCTCAGTCTCAACAAAACAAAACAAAAAACTATATATTGTTGTTTTACAACAGTAATAGATTATCTCTGTACATAGAAAATATATACAGAGACCAGCTTGGCCAACATGGTGAAACCTCGTCTCTACTAAAAATACAAAAATTAGCCGGGCGTGGAAGCACATGCCTGTAATTCCAGCTACTTGGGAGGCTGATGCAGGAGAATCGCTTGAACCCAAGAAGTGACGGTTGCAGTGAGCCGAGATTGCGCCACTGCACTCCAACCTTTGCGCTTTGGAACGAGTGAAACTCTGTCTCAAAAGAAAAGAAAATGTATACAGAGAATGTCAGAATTTATTTACCAGAACAAAACAAAAAAAGGGCAGGTGAGGTGGCCCACTCCTGTAATCCCAGCACTTTGGGAGGCCAAGGTGGGCGGATTGCTTGAGCTCAGGAGTTGAGACCAGCCTGGGCAACATGGTGAAACTCCATCTCTACAAAAAGTACAGAAATGGCCAGGTGCGGTGGCTCACGCCTGTAATCCCAGCACTTTGGGAGGCCGAGGTGGGCGAATCACGAGGTCAGGAGATCGAGAGTATCCTGGCTAACACAGTGAAACCCCGTCTCAACTAAAAAATACAAAAAATTAGCCAGGCGTGGTGGCGGCCGCCTGTAGTCCCAACTACTTGGGAGGCTGAGGCAGGAGAATGGCCTGAACCCGGGAGGCAGAGCTTGCAGTGAGCTGAGATCGCGCCACTGCACTCCAGCCTGGGCGACAGAGTGAGACTCTGTCTCAAACAAAACAAAACAAAACAAAACAAAAAAACCAGAAATCAGCCAGCCATTGTGGTGCGTGCCTGTAGTCTCAGCTACTCTGGAGGATAAAGTGAGAATCACTTGAACCCAGGCGGTTGAGACTGCAGTGAGCCGTGATCGTACCACTGCACTCCAGCCTGCATGACAGAGCAAGACACTCTTTCAAAAAAAGAATTGATTAATATGCTTGGACCATTTGCATTTAATGTAATTATTGATATATTTGGATTTAGATTTTTTTATTTTTCCATTCATGCTATTTGTTTCCTGTATCTTATCTTCCCTTTTCTGCCTTCATTTGGGTTATGAGAGCTGTTTTGGGCAGCTGATTTTAATCGTTTTTTTTTTGAGACGGAGTCTTGCTCTGTCATCCAGGCTGGAGTGCAGTGGCGTGATCTCGGCTCACTGCAACCTCTGCCTCCCAGGTTCACGCCATTCTCCTGCCTCAGCCTTCCGAGTAGCTGGGACTACAGGCGCTCGCCACCACGTCCAGCTAATTTTTTGTATTTTTTAGTAGAGACGGGGTTTCATCGTGTTAGCCAGGATGGTCTCGATCTCCTGACCTCGTGATCTGCCCGCCTCGGTCTCCCAAAGTGCTGGGATTACAGGCGTGAGCCACCTCACCGGGCTGTAATTGTTTTTGAAAATATCTCTTGGCTGGGTGCAGGGGCTCACACCTATAATCCTAGCACTTTGAGAGGTTGAGGTGGGCCAGTTGCTTGAGCTAGGAGTTCAAGGCCAGCCTGGAAAACATGGCAAAATCCCGTCCCTGCCAAAAATACAAAAATTAGCTGGGCACAGTGGTGTGTGCTTGTAGTCGCAGCTTCTCGGGAGGCTGAGGCAGGAGGGTTGCTTGAGCCCAGGTGGTTCAGACTGCAGTGACCTGTGATCATGGCACTGCACTCCAGATGCCTGTCTCAAAACGCACAAAGCAAAGGGTAGGAACAGGCAGAACCAAGCGGAAGTATGCCTGACTAGTACTTGGTGAAATGCCAGCTAGACCCATGGTGAGTTACCATTTCATATTCTCATGACTAGGGTGGGGACAGGGAGGCCTGAGGCAGTCGAACCAGTGGCTAGTGAAGGTCTGGAGCGGGGAGGGAGCCTGTGCCCTGGGGCGGGAGCGTAAATTCTGAGAGCCACCGCTGGGGGGCGATTGGGCCTGGCAGGGCGTCTGCCCCGTGTCTGGGCACACAGAGGTCCGGAGTACGCTGGCGGTGGCAGTGTTTGCATAAAGTCAGACAAGACGAGAGCATCGGTGAGTAAATGCCGGTGTTCAGGCAGCGGAGTAGTCAACAGCAGCTGAGATGAATAACCGACGCGGTCTCAATATGGACAATTCCCACCCCAATTCTGTTGAATGGAACCAGCAGCTGGCGGGTGGGTGCGCATTGTGCAGCGTTTCCAAATTGTTCAGAGGCGCAGGAAAGGCCCTCGCCATCTGGGAAGGCGTAGGGGTGAGCACGGCCTCAGGGAACAGAAAGGACGGAGACAGAACTCAGGCGGCAGAGGCCTCCAGGAGACCCTGGATGGAGGGGAGAGGGCGACTCGGGGGGCTCTGAGCATGTGTTTAAGGGGAGAGGTCAGGCATGGGGCTCATTATTTTTAAAAAACCTGTTTGTATGTTTGAAATATTCAATACTAGGCCGGGCGCGGTGGCTCATGCCTGTAACGCCAGGACTTTGGGAGGCTGAGGTGGGCGGATCATTTGAGGCCAGGAGTTTGAGACCAGCCTGGCCAACATGATGAAACCCCGTCCCTACTGAAAATACAAAAAAATGAGCCGGACGTGGTGGCGCACGTAATCCCAGCTACTCGGGAGGCTGAGGCAGGAGAATCACTGGAACCCGGGAGGCGGAGGTTGCAGAGAGCCGAGATCGCACCATTGCACTCCAGCCTGGGCGACAGAGCGAGATTCCCCATAAAAAAAAAAAATCAGTAATAAAGCTCACCTGTGTATCAGGCCGCGTTCTAATAAAGCTCACCTGTGTATCAGGCCGCGTTCTAATAAAGCTCACCTGTGTATCAGGCCGCGTTCTAATAAAGCTCACCTGTGTATCAGGCCGCGTTCTAATAAAGCTCACCTGTGTATCAGGCCGCGTTCTAATAAAGCTCACCTGTGTATCAGGCCGCGTTCTAATAAAGCTCACCTGTGTATCAGGCCGCGTTCTAATAAAGCTCACCTGTGTATCAGGCCGCGTTCTAATAAAGCTCACCTGTGTATCAGGCCGCGTTCTAATAAAGCTCACCTGTGTATCAGGCCGCGTTCTAATAAAGCTCACCTGTGTATCAGGCCGCGTTCTAATAAAGCTCACCTGTGTATCAGGCCGCGTTCTAATAAAGCTCACCTGTGTATCAGGCCGCGTTCTAATAAAGCTCACCTGTGTATCAGGCCGCGTTCTAATAAAGCTCACCTGTGTATCAGGCCGCGTTCTAATAAAGCTCACCTGTGTATCAGGCCGCGTTCTAATAAAGCTCACCTGTGTATCAGGCCGCGTTCTAATAAAGCTCACCTGTGTATCAGGCCGCGTTCTAATAAAGCTCACCTGTGTATCAGGCCGCGTTCTAATAAAGCTCACCTGTGTATCAGGCCGCGTTCTAATAAAGCTCACCTGTGTATCAGGCCGCGTTCTAATAAAGCTCACCTGTGTATCAGGCCGCGTTCTAATAAAGCTCACCTGTGTATCAGGCCGCGTTCTAATAAAGCTCACCTGTGTATCAGGCCGCGTTCTAATAAAGCTCACCTGTGTATCAGGCCGCGTTCTAATAAAGCTCACCTGTGTATCAGGCCGCGTTCTAATAAAGCTCACCTGTGTATCAGGCCGCGTTCTAATAAAGCTCACCTGTGTATCAGCCCGCGTTCTAATAAAGCTCACCTGTGTATCAGCCCGCGTTCTAATAAAGCTCACCTGTGTATCAGCCCGCGTTCTAATAAAGCTCACCTGTGTATCAGCCCGCGTTCTAATAAAGCTCACCTGTGTATCAGCCCGCGTTCTAATAAAGCTCACCTGTGTATCAGGCCACGTTCCTTTAGGAAGAAACACGGAGATCTAAGGAATGCGCGCGGCTCAGGGGTGAACTGCGGGTGATTTTCCCTCTTCTTATTTGTACTTGTATGTTCTGAAAATGTCGTCTAGCTTTTGGGTAGTTCTTACCTGAGAAAAGCCAGACAGCAGGTTTTTGGCGGAAGGACCGGTTTGCACAGCGGACACACGGGAGCTGCCCTCGCGGCTTTCGGAGAAGCCTCCCCCGTGCGGCGCCTCGCGCGCCCTCGTAAGCGCGCCGCGTCTTGGGGCCGCAAGTTCCCCTCGGTTTGGGGGCGGGGTTTCCAGGTCACGTGACCGGGAGACACGCCCCCCCGCCCCGGTCCCTCAGAGCGGCCGGCAGAGGGCGCCCGAGTCCCGGCCTCGCTCGCGCGTTCGGGGCGGCTCCTTCCTCGCGCGCCGCCGGCCACATCCAGGAGGGGGCGCCGCGAGTCCTCTCCGGCGGCCCCGTCGTGGGCAGCCCGGGGCCGGCTCCTGGGCGTCCGGTTCCGCGCTGGCTGCGTTTCCTGCCCCACCTGCTGGTGTCGGCTCGTGCGTGCCTCCTCCCCTGGGTTATGGGAATGGAATACGGTCTCCAAGTAATAAAGTGAACAGGCGGCCGGGCAGGGTGACTCACGTCTGTAATCCCAGCACTTTGGGAGGCGGAGGCGGCCGGATCACGAAGTCAGGAGTTGGAGACCAGCCTGGCCAAATGAAACCCCATCTCTACCAACAATACAAAAAAAATTTAAAAAGCTGACCTGGCGCGGTGGCTCACGCCTGTAATCCCAAGCACTTTGCGAGGCCGAGGCGGGTGGATCACGAGGTCAGGAGATCGAGACCATCCTGGCTAACACCATGAAACCCCGTCTCTACCAGAAATACAAAAAATTAGCTGGGCGTGGTGGCGGGCACCTGTAGTCCCAGCTACTCCTAAGGCTGAGGCAGGAGAATGGCGTGAACCCGGGAGGCGGAGCTTGCAGTGAGCTGAGATGGGCCACTGCACTCCAGCCTAGGCGACAGAGCGAGACTCCATCTCAAAAAAAAAAAAATTTTATTATTATTATTTTTTATTTATTGATCATTCTTGGGTGTTTCTCAGAGAGGGGGATGTGGCAGGGTCATAGGATAATAGTGGAGAGAAGGTCAGCAGATAAACACGTGAACAAAGGTCTCTGGTTTTCCTAGGCAGAGGTCCCTGCGGCCTTCCGCAGTGTTTGTGTCCCTGGGTAGTTGAGATTAGGGAATGGTGATGACTCTTAACGAGCATGCTGCCTCCAAGCATCTGTTTAACAAAGCACATCTGGCACCGCCCTTAATCCATTTAACCCTGAGTTGACACAGCACGTTTCAGAGAGCACGGGGTTGGGGGTAAGGTTATAGATTAACAGCATCCCAAGACAGAAGAATTTTTCTTAGTACAGAACAAAACGGAGTCTCCTATGTCTACTTCTTTCTACACAGACACAGTAACAATCTGACCTCTCTTTCTTTTCCCCACATTTCCCCCTTTTCTTTTTGACAAAACTGCCACTGTCATCATGGCCCGTTCTCGATGGTCGCTGTCTCTTTGGAGCTGTTGGGTACACTTCCCAGACGGGGCGGCCTGGCAGAGGCACTCCTCACCTCCCAGACGGGGTGGCCGGGCAGAGGTGCTCCTCACCCCCCAGATGGGACGGCCGGGCAGAGGCGCCCACTTCCCAGACGGGGCAGTCGGGCAGAGGCGCTCCCCACCTTCCAGATAAGGCGGTGGCTGGGCAGAGGTGCCCCTCACTTCCCAGGTGGGGCGGTCGGGCAGAGGCACCCCTCAACTCCCAGACGGGGCAGCCAGGCAGAGGCGCCCCCCACCTCCCAGACGGGGCAGCTGGGCAGAGGCGCCCACTTCCCAGACCGGGCGGCCGGGCAGAGGCGCTCCTCACCTCCCAGACGATGGGCGGCCGGGCAGAGATGCTCCTCACCTCCCAGACGGGGTGGCGGCCGGGCAGAGGCTGTAATCTTAGCACTTTGGGAGGCCAAGGCAGGCAGCTGGAAGGTAGAGGTTGTGGCGAGCTGAGATCACGCCACTGCGCTCCAGCCTTGGCAACACTGAGCATTGAGTGAGCAAGACTCCGTCTGCAATCCCAGCACCCCGGGAGGCCGAGGCGGGCAGACCATTGGAGGTCAGGAGCCGGAGACCAGCCCGGTCAACAGGGCAAAACCCCGTCTCCTCCAAAAATACAAAAACCAGTCAGGCGTGGCGGTGCATGCCTGCAATCCCAGGCACTTGGCAGGCCGAGGCAGGAGAACCATGGGAGCCCGGGGCAGGGAGGCTGCAGCAAGCCGAGACCACAGCAGTACAGTCCAGCCTCGGCAACAGAGGGAGACCGAAGGGAGAGGGAGAGGGAGAGGGAGAAAAAAATAATTAAAAAGCTTTATAAGCCTGCTGGATTCTGTCAAATGCCTTTTCTAAGTCTACTGAAATGATGATGTATTTTTGTCTTATTTTATTTATTTAGAGACCAGGTCTCACTATGTTGCTCAGAATCCTCCTGCTTCAGCCTCCCAAAGTGCTGGGATCACAGATGTGAGCCACCACGTCCGGCCGTCTTTTTGTCTTTTAATCTGCTTATATGGTGAATTCCATTGGCTCATATTTCATGTTGAACCAGCCTTGCATTCCTGTGATAAATTTCACTGCGTCATGGTGTGCACTTATATTTGTATTATACATATATGTGTGCTCATGGGCCTGTGTTTCAGTGTGTGGCAATGCTGTGGGCCTACAATCATCAAAACAGCTCTGGAAAACAATGGTCAAGTGAGAGGGCATTCTATGCCTGGCTTCAAGATTTGGGTTTTTTTTTTTTTGAGATGGAGGCTCGCTCTGTCACTCAGGCTGGAGTGCAGTGGTACGATCTCAGCTCACTGCAGCCTCCGCCTCTGGGGCTCAAGTGATTCTTGTACCTCAGCCTCCCGAGTAGCTGGGATTACAGGCGTGTACCACCATGCCTGGCTAGTTTTTGTATTTTTGGTAGAGACGGGTTTCGCCATGTTGGCCAGGCTGGTCTTGAACTCCTGGCCTCAAGTGATCCACCCACCTCGGCCTCCCAAAGTGCTAGGATTACAGGCGTGAACCTTTGCACCTGGCCCAAGATGTGTTATAAAGGTTCAGAAATCCAGACAGTGTGGCATTGGTAACAGGATAGACAAATAGATCAGTGGAACAGAATAGAGGATCGAGAGTAGACCCTCACATACATGCTCAACTGATTTTGAAATAAGTGTAAGCAAATTCAGCAGAGAAAGGAGAATCTTAGCAACAAATGGTACTAGAATGACGGGGCTACACATATGAATGGAAGCTTCAATCTATACATGACAGTACATATATAAATCCATTCAAAATTTACTATTAATTTTTTTGAGATGGAGTCTCACTCTCTCGCCCAGGTTGGAGGGCAGTGGCACAATCTTGACTCACTGCAACCTCTGTCTCCCAGGTTCAAGTGATTCTCCTGCCTCAGCCTCTGGAGTAGCTGGGATTACAGGTGCCCGCCACCACACCTGGCTACTTTTTGTATTTTTAGTAGAGACGGGGTTTCACCATGTTGGCCAGGCTTGTGTCAAACTCCTGACCTCTGGTGATCCACCCGCCTTGGCCTCTCAAAGTGCCAGGATTACAGGTGTGAGCACTGTGCCTGGCCTCAGAACTTATTATAAGCCAAAATGTAAGGCCTACAACTGTAAAATGTGCGTTAAGAATGAAAAGGAGGATGTCAGTGTGACTTGGGTTAGAGAAATGATTCTTAAACACTAAAAGCATGACACATAAAGGAAAACCTGATCCACTGGACATCATGAGAATGAAGGGTGTGTGCATTTTGAAAGGCCCTGAGAAGACAAGCCCAGGCTGGCAGAGGCATTAGCAAATATCCCGTCTGAGGAAGGACTCATCTGCAGCATCTATGACAAGCTCCCAGGAGTCATGGGGTGCTGTGCTCTCGGCAGATATGGGAGAGCCTCCCATCCCATCATTCGTGTCTCCGGAGCAGCACTGCTCAAAGTCCCCTACCAATGCCCTCCTCAGCCGACAGACCTGACCCTCCCCACATGTGCACCCACAGGCCAGGCCTTGTGGGTCTTCTTGGGACATGACCCCAACTTCAGGAGGAGGAAAGTAAGAAGAGGAAAATCAATGAAAAGAAAAAAGAATTTACTGGTGGCCCTTTCAAGTCTTTCTGTCAAACGGCCCAATTTCAGGTTCAGCCAGGCAGTGGTGACAAGGCAGCCCTGTGTTCTGCCCAGTTCCAAGGGCTCCACCGCCTCTGTGGGTGAGAAGCAGCAACCAGCCGGGGAGAAAACCATCTAGCTGCGTCAACCTCGGTAGTGCTGGAAGTTAGCACAGGCGGGCCTGGGTTACCACGGTTCAGTTCTAGACACCGCAATAACACAAATGTCGCAATAAAGCCAGTCGGAGGGATTTTTCGGTTTTCCACTGCATATAAAAGTTATGTTTATACCACAGTGCAGTCAGGTGTGCAATAACATTATGTTTACAAAACAATGCATATGCCTCAATTTAAAATACTTTATTGACCACTCCTCACTCCCTCCCCAACTGGGCTCCCACCACCCTACCCTCCCTCAAGACCAAAAAAACAATAAATAATAATAATAATAGGCTGGGCACAGTGGCTCACACCTGTAATCCCAGCACTTTGGGAGGTCAAGTGGGCAGATTGCATGAGCTCAGGAGACCAGCCTGGGCAACATGGTGAAACCCTGTCTCTACCAAAAATACAAAAAATTAGCCGGGTGTGGGGGTGTGCACCTGTGGTCCCAGCTACTAGGGAGACAGAGGTGGGAGGATTGCTTCAGCCTGGGAGGCAGAGGTTGCCGTGAGCCGAGATAATGTCACTGCACTCTAGTCTGGGCAACAAAGCAAGACCTCGTCTCAAAAAAAAAATGGCTGGGGGTGGTGGCTCACACCTGTAATCCTAGCACTGTGGGAGGCCAAGGTGGGCGGATCACCTGAGGCCAGGAGTTCGAGACCAGCCTGGCCAACATGGTGAAACCCCGTCTCTACTAAAAATGGAAAAAAATCAGCCGGGTGTGGTGGTGCGTGCTTGTAGTCCCAGCTCCTCCGGAGGCTAAGGTAAGAGAATCGCTTGAACCTGGGAGGCGGAGGTTGCAGTGAGCCGAGATGGTGCCACTACATTCCAGCCTGGGCAAGAGAGTGAGACTCTGTCTCAAAAATTAAAAAACAAACAAACAAAAAACTAAGATACTGATAGAAAGTGCCAGCAATCACCTGAGGCTTGAGGAAGTTGGGATCTCTTTGCTGGTGGAAGGTCTTGTTTGTGGCTGCTGACTGATCAGGGTGGTGGTGGCTGAAGGCTGAGGTGGCTGTGGCAATTTCTTCCTTTTTTTTTTTTTTTTTGAGATGGAGTTTTGCTCTTATGCCCAGCTGGAGTTCAATGGCGTGATCTCGGCTCACTGCAACCTCTGCCTCCTGGGTTCAAGTGATTCTCCACCACACCCGGCCAGCAATTTCTTAAAATAAGACAACAATAAAGCTGGCCACATTGAGCTTCTTCCTTTCACAAAAGATTTCTCCGTAGCACGCGATGCTGTTTGGTAGCATTTTGTCCACAGCAGACCTTCTCTCACAACTGGAAAATCCTCTCGAACCCTATCGCTGCTGTACCAACGAAGTTTATGGAATATTCTAAATCCTTTGTTATCTCAGCAATGTTTAGAGCATCTTCACCAGGCGCAGATTCCATCTCGAGAAAGCACTTTTGCTGGGTGCGGTGGCTCACACCTGTAATCCCAGCACCTCGGGACACTGAGGCGGACGGCGGGCAGATCACTTGAGGCCAGGAGTTCGGGACCAGCCTCGCCAACATGGTGAAACCCTGTCTCTAATACAATACAAAAATTAGCCGGGCATGGTGGCGTGTGCCTGTAATCCCAGCTACTCGGGTGGCTGAGGCAGAATTGCTTGAACCCAGGAGGCAGAGGTTGCAGTGAGCCGAGATTGCGCCACTGCGCTCCAGCCTGCGTGATATTCAAACTGGAAGAGCAGAGCGAGACTGTCTCGAAAGAAAAACAAAACAAAACAGCTTGAAGCGGCAGGGTTACAGCTCTGCGACGGCCCCTGCAGGCGGGGTGTGCTGGGCAGAGTGTGCTGAGAGCAGCAGCTCAGGACAGTTCTGCAGCCACATTTACACCCACTTTTAATTTCATGTAGATTAAGGGGCAGCCCAGGCAAAAGTTTCTAGGGAAGGGGTAGTAACTTTTGGGTCGTGGGGTCATTGCCATGGAAAGGGGTAGTAACTCCCACCATGCCTGGCCTGTTTACTTTCACTTCCAGCTTGCCCTTGAATTGTTTCCTGGGCAAAGCCAGGAACCCTCGAGGGGCTCAGCCCCACTGTGGGTCTTGCCTGCCCTCCATCAACTAGAAGGCGACGTAGCATTGAGTTAATCCACCATTACTTTAAATGGCATGGATACCACTCATATAGTATTGAGAAAAGGAAGTCAGATACAAAAGAGAACATGCAATATAATTCCATTTATATAAAGTTCAAAATAGGCAAAGTTAGTATGAGGGCTAGAAGAGTGGTGATTTTAAACCTCCGGGCCTTTGTACACGCTGTTCCATCTACCAAGGGTGCCCTTTCCTCGCACCATGTAAACGCAAACGTATGGATCAAGTTACCTCCTTGCCAGGCGCGGTGGCTCAGTGTCATCCCAGCACTTTGGGAAGCCGAGGCAGGCAGATCATTTGAGGTCAGGAGTTTGAGACCAGCCTGGCCACCACGGTGAAACCTCATCTCTACTAAAAATACAAAAAATTAGCCAAGTGTGGTGGCGGGCACCTGTGATCCCAGCTACTCAGGAGGCCGAGGCGGAGAACTGCTTGAACTGGGATGCAGAGGTTGCAGTGAGCTGAGATCATGCCACTGCACTCCAGCCTGGGCGACAGAGCGAGACTCCATCTCAAAAATGAAAACAAAAAGGCTTTGTGGCTCACACCTATAATCCCAGCACTTTGGGAGGCCAGGGCAGGCAGATAACGAGGTCAAGAGATTGAGACCAGCCTGTCCAACGTGGTGAAACACTGTCTCTACCAAAAATACAAAAATTAGCTGGGTGTGGTGGCACGCACCTGTAGTCCCAGCTACTCGGGAGGCTGAGGCGGAAGAATCACTTGAGGCCAGGAGGCGGAGGTTGCAGTGAGCCGAGATCACGCCACTGCACTCCTGACTGGGTGACAAAGTAAGACTCCATCTCAAAAAAAAAAAAATTCGCCTCCTAACCTCACTGAGTTAACTGATCAAGACCTCTCATGCTCTGCCGCTGCACAGCTGTCCCTCCAGCGCCTTGTCTGTGTGTGTGGGGGGTGGCTGGTGTTTTGAATATCTTCCGGTTCCCAGAGGCTAGCTCAGTGTCTGACAGGGCCCTGTGGGAGTGTCTAATTCTCACAGCATCTCCGTGCAGGAGGGAAGGAGAGGGTCACGCCTGGGCCCTGAGGCATCTTGTATCTGAGGCCCCCACATCAGCACGGATCTCCAGAGGCATATACTGTCCTGCCGACTGGTCTGCTTTCTGTCTGATTGAAATTGGAGGCTCAAAGCCAAGACCTTCTCACTTGCAGTGAAGAACCCTTATGGGGCAAAGTTTTCCCCTCAACCTGCTCTATCATGAGCTCCTCCTGCTAAGTGGCAGAGCTTAGCCCGTGAATCAGAGGATACGCTACATTTCAAACCTTAGGAGCAGTCCTGTCACCAAAATTCAGCTGGTCATTGTCAGTTTAACTACCCACTACGTAACCACTCACGTATGAACCTGCAACAGCCACCAATCAAGTTGAATTCTCAAATATTTGCTACTTCATCCTCAATGTTTTCCCATTTCTTTTTTTTTTTTTTTTTGAGACGGAGTCTAGCTCTGTCGCCCAGGCTGGAGTGCAGTGGCGCGATCTTGGCTCACTGCAAGCTCCGCCTCCCGGGTTCACGCCATTCTCCTGCCTCAGCCTCCCAAGTAGCTGGGACTACAGGCGCCCGCCACCACGCCCGGCTAATTTTTTGTATTTTTAGTAGAGACGCGGTTTTACCGTGTTAGCCAGGATGGTCTCGATCTCCTGACCTTGTGATCCGCCCGCCTCGGCCTCCCAAAGTGCTGGGATGACAGGTGTGAGCCACCGTGCCGGGCCAGTGTTTTCCCATTTCACGTGCTGCGTGTGAAAATCCACTGCGTGCGACACTTGCGCTATGTGCACTTTATGTACACATCTCATACTTTGTTAAAAAGGCACTTTCAGACAAACATATTATTTATTTATTTAGAGACATGGTTCACTCTGTCACCCAGGCTGGAGTGCAGTGGTGTGGTCTCTGCTCACCGCAACCTCCACCTTCTGGGTTCAAGTGATTCTCCTGCCTCAGCCTCCCAAGTAGCTGGGATTACAGGTGCAGGCCACCACGCCCAGCTCATTTTTTTGTATTTTTTTTTTGAGATGGAGTTTTGCTTTTTGTTGCCCAGGCTGGAGTGCAATGGCGTGATCTCGGCTCACCAGAACCTCTGCCTCCTGGGTTCAAGCGATTCTTATGCCTCAGTCTCCCGAGTAGCTGGGATTACAGGCATGTGCCACCATGCCTGGCTAATTTTTGTATTATTAGTAGAGACGGGGTTTCTCCATGTTGGTCAGGCTGGTCTTGAACTCCCGACCGCAAATGATCTGCCTGCCTTGGCCTCCCAACATGCTGGGATTACAGGTGTGAGCCACTGTGCCCAGCCATTTTTTTGTATTTTTAGTAGAGATGGGGTTTCACCATGTTGGCCAGGCTAGTCTTGAACTCCTGACCTCAAATGATCCGCCTGCCTCGGCCTCCCAACGTGCTGGGATTACAGGCGTGAGCCACCGTGCCTGACCTGAGTATATTTATAGAAGTAGAACAGGCACAGGACTCTCCACCCAAAGTCACCCTGGTGCCTCTCTCCCCGGGGTCTGACTTAGGCCTTCAGCACCACGGTGTTTTCTCTAGATGGCATCTCATGAACACTGGGGGTCTCTTGCCTCAGCCTGTCCCTGGATTCCCTTTCATGGGGAATGTAAAAGCTCCCTATTTAAGCTAACGTGTAGGCTGGTGGGGCTGGATGTGAGGGAGGGGCAGGTGGAGAAGGAAAGGGCAGCATCCCTCAGATCTGTGTGGAGCAGGATCGGAAGGAAAGGCACACTCGAGTCGGCCAGGACCCGGGGAAATGAGCGAGAATGGTCAGCTCTGGGGCGGTATATAAAACTGGGGGTGGGAATACTTCCATATACTCCCAATTCCACAGTGGGTGAACTGAGTAAGTTTAAAAATAAGATAAAGACATAACGAGGTGAGGCAGGTAAGTTCAAAAATAAAAATGAAGGCCAGGCACTTTGGGAGGTTGAGGCGGGCGAATCACAAGGTCAGGAGCTCGAGACCATCCTGGCTAACACGCTGAAACCCTGTCTCTATTAAAATTACAAAAAAAAAAAAAAAAAAAAAATTAGCCGGGCGTGGTGGCAGGTGCCTGTAGTCCCAGCTACTCGGGAGGCTGAGGCAGGAGAATGGCTTGAACCTGGGAGGCGGAGCTTACAGTGAGCCGAGATCGCGCCACTGCACTCCAGCCTGGGCGACAGAGCGAGACTCCATCTCAATAAAATAAAATAAAAATGAAGACATACCTTTCAGGGGCTGTGGCCGCACTGTCCAGGAGGGAGGCCCGGCCACAGACACCATGCTGGCCGTGCGCTCAGCACCTATACATACCTGGGCACCTTCCCCACAAGGTGTCACAAAAGGGAGCCCAACAGCCATTTTAAACATTTTCTTCACTCTTATGAGAATTGCCACGAACAAATCTAAGAGATCATGGCAAAGAAAAGAATGAAATGAAACCAGAACATTTCAGCAGCTTTTGCAAAGATGTCAAGAGAACCAGTCCAGGAGTCAGACTGGCGGCATCCTTCCAGCTTCTTGTCATGAATTCTAAACCTCACATCCAGACTCCAAAGCTTAGAGAGTTAAAGAATCAGCTACTGGTCACCAAGCTCACGTGTGCAGGATGAGGGTCACAGCCAGGTTGGCTGCCTTCCAGCCCTGAGCTTTCTTGGGGGTGTGTGTGTGTGTGTGTGAACCACCTTCTTTTTGAGACGGAGTTTCTTTTTTCTTTTTTGAGATGGAGTTTCGCTCTTGTTGCCCAGGCTGGAGTACAGTGGCACGATCTTGGCTCACTGCAACCTCTGCCTCCTGGGTTCAAGTGGTTCTCCTGCCTCAGCCTCCTGAGTAGCTGGGATTACAGGCATGCACCACCATGCCTGGCTAAGTTTTTGTAATTTTAGTAGAGATGGGGTTTCATCATCTTGGCCAGGCTGGTCTTGAACTCCTGACCTCAGGTGATCTGCCTGCCTTGGCCTCCCAAAGTGTTGGAATTACAGGTGTGAGCCACCGCGCCCAGCCAGAGTTTCATCTTGTTGCCCGAACTGGAGTGCAATGGTGTGGTCTAGGCTCGCTGCAACCTCTGCTTCCCGTGTTCAAGCGATTCTCCTGCCTCAGCCTCCCAAGTAGCTGGAATTACAGGTGCCCACCACCATGCCTGGCTAATTTTTGTATTTTTAGTAGAGATGGGGTTTCACCACGTTGGCCAGGCTGGTCTTGAACTCCTGACCTCAGGTGATCCACCCTTCTCGGTCTCCCAAAGTGTTGGGGTTACAGGTGTGAGCCACCACGCCCGGCCAGAACCACCTTCTTTAAAGATGATCAGGCCGGGTGTAGTGGCTTATGCCAGTAATTCCAGCGATATGGGAGGCTGAAGCAGGAGGATCACTTGAGCCCAATTCAAGACCAGGCTGGGCAACACAGGGAGACCTCTTCTCTACATAAAATACAACAATTAGCCAGGCGTGCTGGCGCCTGTGGTACCAGCTACTTGGGAGGCTGAGGCGGGAGGATCACTGGAGTCCGGGAGGTGGAGGCTGCAGCGAGCTGGGATCGCGCCACTGCAGTACAGCCTAAGCAGTGGAGTGAGACCCTGTCTCGAAAACAAATACCTAATAAAGGCAGTCAGAGGAGAGGTTTAGCAAATTGCTAAAGAACAAATCTGAGATACCGTTAGTTTCCTTACTTGCAATCTTCATCTGCCAAAATGTCAATTCTGTGAATTGCGGACTAGTCAAAAACTTAAAGAAAACCCACTTTTGTGGAGGTGGGGTCGCTTTGCGTTTCCCAGGCTGGTCTGGAACTCGGCCTGCGCCCCTCAGTGCCAGGGCTCCAGGCGACGCTCGGGTGTCGGCAGCAGAGTGGACGCAGGAGCAGCTCGGACCGCGCTCAGAACACTCGGGACGAGGCCGCGGCTCCGCAGGCCTTGCGGGCTGGGGTCCCACGAAACAAAGGCGGCAGCCAGTGGCCAGGACGGGCAGCGTGGTTCACGGGGCCGTGGCTCCCTCGGGGGTCGCGAGCTCGGCGCAAACGAGCCCCTCTACCAAGGTCGCCTAGAGTCGCGACCCCGACATGCGGAGCCGCCCCAGGGGGGTTTCTCCCGGGTCCCTCCTGTCCCGAGGCGGCCGCTTTCTCCGGGGGCCGCGCCCCGCGCCCCAGCAAGGCCCGACCCGCGCCTGCGATTCCGCCCCCAAGGCGCTGCCGCACCGGGCCCCGGCCTCTTCCTCCGAGGATTCTCAGGAATTGCTGAGACTTGCGTGCCAGTGCGAGGCCCACAACACGCACACGCGCCCGCGCCCGCCAGACCCCGCCCCCGGCACCAAGCCCCGCCTACTGGGGGAGACCACGCCCCCAAGCGAGACCTCCCTCACCGAGCCACGCCCCACCAGGCCCCGCCGCTGCGCCAAGACTGTGCTTAGCCGAGCCCCGCCCGCCGGGCCCCGCCCCGACCCCGAGACTACTCCCGCCAGGCCCCGCCCCCGCGCCGAGCCCCGCCCAGTAGTCCCCGCCCACGCACCTGACCACGCCCACGAGCCGGCTCGAACACGCCCGCGCCGCTGACTGGCGGGTGGGGTTGTCGACACGTTCAACCCGTTCTGCTGGCTCGAGAACGAAGTAGGCCGTCTCGCTCTGGGTCTCCAGGCCCGCGACCGTCCGCCAGTCGTCCCGAGGTCAGTAGCTCCAGCGGTGCGTCAGCGTCTAGCCAGGCCTCGCCCACGCCGGCCTTGGTCGGGCTTCTTGTAGACGCGGGCCTGGCGCTATTGAGGCCGTTGCTGCGCGGGCGAGTGGCGCGCTCCCGTGGCGGGGCGGGGTCGGGCGGGGCAGGGGTCCGGGGCTATCGAGGCGGGGCCGAGGTTGCGCTGGGCAGCTGCGCCGCCGGGCGGACGTGGCGCGCCTTGAGGACGTCATCGCGGTGCACGCTCCCCTTTGGGGCTTGCCGGAAGTCCTTGCCCGGGGCGCGGGGCTGCGCCTGCGTGGTTCGTCCTCACGTGGCCGTCAAGCCCTCTAGTGCCTTAGATTCCAGCGAGCTACGCAAGCAATCCTGGCCCAGCCGAGCTTGCTTCCCCAAATCCCGTAATCCTTGACCTTATTCCCCCAAAGAAGCGGCCTCCCGGGAAGGAGCGCCCTGGCGGAGAAGACTCGAACGGCTCCCACAGCCGGGCGTTGGGGGAAAGGTGGGCGGTCTTGGTCGTGCGAGGTCGGGGAGGGAGGGTCCTCCGCTCTCCATTGCGGAGCTTCGCTCCGGGACCACCGGGGGACCGGACGCCGGGCCGCGAAGCTGCCGCCTGGGGCTGCGGGGAGGAGAGCAACATAACTGGAATGGCACTTAGGGGCCGGTGTCAGGGTTGTCACCGGGGTTGGCGGAAATGACGAAGGGGCCCCAGGCACGTCGTGTTACTGGGCGAGGTTCCAGCCAAGGTGCCCACGCGCCTTGGGGGAAACCAGAGGACTTCTGCACCGTTTCCCGAGGACAGTTTGGCAGTGTTTCAGAAGGGCCTTAGAACCAGGCAGGCCCCCTTCTAGGATGGTGGAAAGCCTAAAGATCTGAAAACGGTCTCAAGTGTCGTCTTAGCGATTGGCTGACTAAACCGAATGCAAGCCGGAGACTGCACACGATGTTGCCGTTAACAGTTACACTGGGCCGGGCAGTCAGAGGCAGGCGGATCACCTGAGGTCAGGAGTTCGAGAACAGCCTGGCCAACATGGTGAAAACCCGTCTCTACTAAAAATACAAAATTAGCCGGGCGTGGTGGCAGGCGCCTATAATCCCAGCTACTTGGGAGGTTGAGGTAGGAGAATGGCTTGAACTCAGGAGGCGGAGGTTGCGGTGAGCCGAGATCGTGCCACTGCACTCCAGCCGGCTGACAAGAGCGAAACTCCTTCTCAAAAAAAAAAAAAAAAAAAAAAAGTTACATTAGGCTGGGTGCGCTGCAGCCTGTAATCCCAGCACTTTGGGAGGCCGAGGCGGGCGGATCTCTTGAGCCCAGGAGTTTGCGACCAACATACTGAGTTTGGCCAAAATAGTGAGACCCCCGTCTCTACAAAAGATAGAAAAAATTAGCCAGTTGCGGTAGTGAACGCTTGTAGTCCCAGCTACTTGGGACGCTGAGGGAGGAGGAGCACTTGAGCCCTGGAAGAGGAGGCTGCAGTGAGCTATTTTCTCATCCCTGCTATAACGAATTTGTCACAGGCTGTTTTATAGGCCTGGAGCTCAGAAGCCCGAAGTGAGTTTTAGGAGGTTAAAATCAAGGTGTTGGCAAGGGTAGTTCCTTCTGGAGTTTCCCAAGGAGAATCTGCTTCTTTTCCTCTTCCAACTTCTAGAGGCCACCTTCTTCCATCTTCAAAACCTACTGTCTCTGCATAAGAACTCTCATGATTATATGCCGGCCGCCCAGACACCCCAGGGTAGCCTTCACATCTCAATATTCTTAATATTTGCAAAGTCCCTTTTGCCACTTAAGGTAACACCACAGGTTTGGAGATTAGGAGGTGGACATCTTTCAGGGCCATTCTTATTTTAAAAAATGTACTGTCGATAAGAATAGTTAAAATGTAAAATATTTGAAGGGATTTATTCTGAATCGAATATGAGTGACCGCGGCCGGTGACACAGCCCTCAGGGGATCCTGGGAACATGTGCCCAAGGTGGTTGGGGCAGTTTGGTTTTACATGTTTTAGAGAGACATGAGGCATTAATGAAATACATTTAAGATATCCATTGGTTTGGTCCAGAAAGGCGGGACCAAACAAAAAAAAAAAGATTTTGAACATGCTTCCCGAGCTCAGGCATGAAGAACTCTTGACTGACAGAAACGGAGGGTGTGTCCAAAGTTTTGAGGACGGCCGAGCGGCGCTCCAAAACCCGTCCTCACAGCCTCGCCCCGTTCGCCTCAGCTACAACAAATCATCGTCAACCTGTTCCACCTTCTCCAGTCTGGTAGCAAAAAGGGGTGTCTCAGGTTTGCTTTATTTTATTGTTTGGGCAATTCCTGGAATCCGGCCTGCTTGTGGGAGGAGGCAGGGGCCGGTCCCTCGAGGGTGGTGGGAGCTGCCAGAGCTGGAGGGATGGTCTGGGGGAAGGCGGCTGTACGGTGGAAAGGCTGGTTGGGGCCAGAGTGGGAAACGGGATGCGGACGTCAGGCTTCACCCCCGACCCAGGGGGGAGTGGGAAAGCTGGGGTAGTAGCTGGGACGAGGCCCGGGGGCTGAGCCCAGAGGGTCGAGTGGGCGACGACTAGCGGGCGCGGCCCCCAGGGTGGACTCCCCGCCAGCCCCGGCCTGGAGGCTCCGCCCGCCCCCGCCTGGGCGGAAGGAACGCGGAGCGGCTCTGGCCTTGGGTCTGCGGCGGCGGCGTCGGGTGAGCGTCCCGGGCGGAGCGGGCGCGGGCGGGGGCAGAGAGGCAGGGGAGACCCCCTTCGTGTTTTTGTGAGGTTTCCTCCCAGCCCTTTAGTCTGCAGCAGGGTGTCCAGAACTAGCAGGTTCGAGGGACTCGACGCGGGCGCGGGCGGGGGTCCCAGGGACCGGGAACTTTTGCGCGTCGCCTGAGCGTGGCCCGTGTCTCCCTAGAGGGTGGCCCCGCGCCCCCGTCACGTCGGAACATAAGGACCTGAATTGGCCTCCAGACGGCCCCTCCCATGTGGCTCCCCAGGGTGGGGCCCAGGCCTTGGGTGCTGCGGAGACCTCCCTCCGTAAGGTTGAGAAAGTCTGGTCTCCGGATAAGGGACCGTTAGGGCCTCTGTTCAGATCCCTGCCTCAACCAAAGCAGGCTGCCAGCTGGTGGTAGTGGGTTCCTGAATGTGCTTTTAGCTTTGGCTGTGTAGGGAGCCAGGGACTTCTCCAGTCACAGAGAAGGGCGTTTACTCCCGCATTTTCATGGGGTCCTCAGTGGGATCCGTGACCCACAGAGATTCAGAAGGGCCTTTCTGGGATACAACAGGGTCTGGCCAAGCCTGAGGGGTAGGGACGGGGCTACTCCCGCAGCGCTAGTTGCAGATGGTCACGGGAGCACTGGCCACCCTGAGCTCCCACCAAGCTTTCCCAGGAGGAGGACACCCTGGGGCCACCTTTCATCTGGCTGCAGAGGACACAGGAGTGTCAGGCTGGATTTGGGGAGCGTGTGCACCCTGGGCAGCCCCCTGAGGCTCTCCTTCCACCCGCCCTCCCGCCCACAGTGCCTCCTGATGACTAGATTCTGGAGTCAGAATTTGGGTGACCACACCCTGGTCGGTTTTGCTCACGTGCTTCGGGTCGGTTGGATTCAGTTCCTCCATGTGGGGCCGTGGGATGTCACCACCCTTTGCCACTGTCCTTGCAGGCCGGGCGCCCAGGCGTGTGGACCCGAGCCCAGCCTTGCGTCTTTCCTCCCAGTTGGTACCAGGGGCCTCTTGCCTCCACTCATGCAGAGTGGACCAGCCGCCTCTGAAGCAGCCCCGGGGAGAGGAGTGCCAGGCACACAGACTCAGGAAGCTGGGGGTGTCAGGGCACCAGGAGCCTCTCAAGCGGTCCTGTTGGCCGTCTTTCTGAAGGGCAGCTGGGGTTGCATCATTTCCCCAAGTGGATCCTGCCAACTTTCTGGGGCTTCTGGATGAGAGCCCTCTCCCCACCCCACCCACCCCTCCCCGCATTGTGGCATCAGTGCTGCTGCTTCCAGGGAGCCTTCCTGGCCATCCAAGCCTCCTCTCCAGGTTCCTGCCCTGCTGTAGTCCCCAGGCCAGTGCTTGGCAGGTGCTCAGGGAATGTATCCACCAACCAAGGTTTGGGGTGGCTGTCTCTGCCTGACCACTTTCCCCAGGCCCCTGGCGGGTACCTGAGCTGTGCTCTCAGGGCCTCAGGAACCTCCTTCCATATTCAGGGCCTGTGCCTGGGGAGGCTTCAGGGTGTAGCAGCTGTGCCCATCCCAGGCTGACCCACCCAGCTTGCCTGGTAGCCCAGCCTCTGGGCTAGTGTGCCGTGGGGCAGGGGATGTGCTGTAGCCTGGTGCAGAGTCCCCAACCCCAGAAGGGGGCCATGGAAGCTGACACCCCAAGTGGCCGCCCCCCTGCTCTGTCTTGCTTCGGACACTGTGGCCGGGTCCAGGATCCTGGCATCCTGGGAGGTCTCTGGCTTTGTGGGCAGCCTGCCTGGCCCGCACAGTCTGCCTGTCCTGAGGGTGAGACACAGGTCAAGCCCACAGACCCCCTTGCTCCCCTGCTGGGGCCTCCAGGCTCACAGACCACCCCACCCTACCCTGTCCTTGCCCAAGCAAATGAGAGGCAGGGGCTTCCCGGGCTGCTGCTGTCCCGCCCTCTGTGGGGCAGGAGGAGGTGCCCACAGAGGCTGGGTGGTGATAGCCAGGAGATGGGCTGGCATCTGCATTACCCAAGCTCTGCTGCCCATGGTGGCCTTTCTGGGGGTGGGTGCTGGTCCCTGCCCCCTGCCCCACCCCTGATGTCTGCTCCAGAGACAAAGGTGGGGAGGGTGCTGAAGAGGAAGTGTTTGCCCAGGGAGAGGCTGCGGCTCCTCCTGAAACATCAGCCCTGTGGGTCCTGTTTGCAGAATCTCCGGCCTGTGAAACTGTGAGGGGATTCGGCCAAGACGTCCTCTTCCCTCTGCCTCCCACCCAGGCCACTCTTCACCTCCACCATGAGCCTGGACATCCAGAGCCTGGACATCCAGTGTGAGGAGCTGAGCGACGCTAGATGGGCCGAGCTCCTCCCTCTGCTCCAGCAGTGCCAAGTGGTCAGGTACGCTTGCTCTCGGGGTGGCCTTGGGGTGCTGGTGGGGCAGGCTGGCGGGTGGCGGCTCCCTCTGAAGGGTGCATTGCTCTGGAACGCCTTGTTTGTGGACATGAAGTATGAATTCTGTGCAGCTACCACGTGCATGAGATGTGATTCTTGTGTTTCTTTTTGACAATTTAGGAATGTAAAACCCATTCCAGGCTCATGCAGCATGGGCTGAGGTGGGCGGGCCGAGGTGGGCGGCCACTGGCCAGTGGGTCTCTGGCTCCGGTGTCTCAGCTCCTCTCCCTCCCTTGGAGACACGAGGGCAGGACACAGCTTGGGTCCCCTCCGTGAGCCTCCATGGGGCGCTGCTTGTCCCTGCCAAGCTGGGGGCTGGGAGTCCTCGGCCCTCGAGGTCCTCACAAACCCAGCAGCTTCACAAGCAGGACACGAGTGCCTGGGTGGGCCGCATCTTTTCTCTTTTTACCTGGTGATTTCAAGTAGTGTCAGGTTTGCGGAGGAGTTACGAGGACCGGACGGGGCTCCCTGGTGAGGTGGTCCTGTGTACCTGCGGACGCTAGCTCTGGCCCAGCACCTCCAGGCAGGGTCTGCTTTTCCGCCCTGCCCTTTTCGTCTTCCTCACTGGTCCAGGATTGCGTGGCCCTCAGCCCTCTGTCTCCTTAGCCCTCTCCCGTCTGTGACTGTCCCCTCGTCTCTCTGGGTTCTTGGTGGTCTGAGGGTCTGGCCAGGCTCCTGCAGGACGTCCTCTGTTGGGGCTTGTCTGGTGGTTTCTTGTGGTTGAAGTCCTACAGTTTTGGCAGGAATGCAGGGAGATGCCGTGGGGCCTGCCAGGAGCGTCCTGTCACAGGCGCCGTCTGCCACCCTCTCCACTGTGACGCCACTGCCTTTCCTCCTGTGACTGATCAGTGCCTTCGAGAGATACTTTAAATTCTTTTTATTTTTAGAGACAGGGCATTGCTCTGTCACCCAGGCTGGAGTGGCTCCCTCATGGCTTATGCGGCCTCAACCTCCTGGGCTCAAGTGATCCTCCTGCCTCAGCCTCCCGAGTAGCTGGGATTATGGGCATGCGCCACCACGCCCGGCTACTTTTGTATTTTTAGTAAAGACGGGGTTTCTCCATGTTGGTCAGGTTGGTCTTGAACTCCCGACCTCAGGTGATCTGCCTGCCTCGGCCTCCCAAAGTGCTGGGATTACAGGCGTGAGCCACCGCGCCTGGCCACGTGCGAGCATCTTAAACAAAACTTTCATGGAACAGTTCCTCCTTTTTGTTTCATTTCTGAAATGTCTTGTGTGACTTGCCTTGCTGTCTTCTGGGCCCACTGATAGGTTGTAACCTGCACGTGGGGTGGTGGTGGAGGCTGAGGCCAGTGCTGTCTGCGTGGTCCACATGACCCTGGGGTCTGCTCACAGGCTGGACGACTGTGGCCTCACGGAAGCACGGTGCAAGGACATCAGCTCTGCACTTCGAGTCAACCCTGCACTGGCAGAGCTCAACCTGCGCAGCAACGAGCTGGGCGATGTCGGCGTGCATTGCGTGCTCCAGGGCCTGCAGACCCCCTCCTGCAAGATCCAGAAGCTGAGGTGAGGCGGGGCCTGGCACTGCCTCTGGCCTGGTGCAGTCTGCTTTGGTAGCCCGGCAGCAGGGGACAGAGCCGCCAGGGGCGCGTGGGCAGCTGCAGGTGGACAGGCAGTGGCAGCAGACATTTCCAACATCAGCCAGAGGCACACAGGCCTGGCGGTCTCACAGCGGGGGGGACAGGGCCCTTCCTGCCTTATCCCAGCCCCCGCACCCAAGATCTGGCCCTGCCCGCCATCCCTAGCCTTCCAGCATCACCACAGACCCCCACTGAAAGGTGTGTCTGCAGACAAGGTTTCCCTGGGTCGAGCCACATGCGTGCCCTCCTTCACTCGGCCTGGAGACCCCAGACCCCAGAGCCCCGTCCAGGGAAGGAGCAGGTATAGACCTGCCGCCTGAAGAGTGCTGCTCCGGGCTCTGGGCTCTGGCAGGCGAAGGGCGTGGCAGCTTGGCTCAGGGGAGCCCTGCTGACAGCCAGGTATGCTCCAGCCTCCAGAACTGCTGCCTGACGGGGGCCGGCTGCGGGGTCCTGTCCAGCACACTACGCACCCTGCCCACCCTGCAGGAGCTGCACCTCAGCGACAACCTCTTGGGGGATGCGGGCCTGCAGCTGCTCTGCGAAGGACTCCTGGACCCCCAGTGCCGCCTGGAAAAGCTGCAGTGAGTTTGTGTCCTGCCCCAGGGCCCATGCTGGCCGCTGCCTGTCCCCCAGCCAGCCCCCTACATAGAACATCGCCTGCCAGGAGCCGTGAGGAGGGGACTCAGGTCACAGGGGCCTTGTGGTGCTCTCCTTTCCCCATGATGCTGGGTCTGGGGCCTTGTGGTGCTCTCCTCTCCCCATGATGCTGGGGCTGGGGGGATCTGTCATCACCCTCCCTCCCCATCCAGTTGTCCTTTGCAAGGCACAGCTGCCCCAGGACCCGACGGTGGGAACAGATGCCTGGCCGTGAGTCAGGTTCCACTCACCGCCTCAGTGTGTGTGGGGGACCCGGCCATTGTGAGTTGACCACAGCCTGGGACGTGCAGGTGGCCCTGCCCTCCAGAGGCTGGTTTCTTTCTCCCGGGCCTGGTTGGGCCCCAAAGTCTGAGGTCCGGGAGGGGGTGAGGGGTTTCCAGAAGGAATGCCGGTGTCCACAGAGGCCCGGGCCTCTGGATGAGTCTGTGGGGGTCCCTCAGCACTGACACCTGATGCCCAGGCAGAAGACTGAGGGGAGATGAGACACCAGCACACCCCGTGCTCCCTGGTATCACACCCTTGGCTGGTGCACATTCCTGTGTGGTGCTGAGCTCTGCTGTCCCCCAGGCTGGAGTATTGCAGCCTCTCGGCTGCCAGCTGCGAGCCCCTGGCCTCCGTGCTCAGGGCCAAGCCGGACTTCAAGGAGCTCACGGTTAGCAACAACGACATCAATGAGGCTGGCGTCCGTGTGCTGTGCCAGGGCCTGAAGGACTCCCCCTGCCAGCTGGAGGCGCTCAAGTAGGCACTGGGCCTTGGGGGGGTGCGGGGTGTGGGCTAGGGGGGGTCCCGTGCTGCCTCACGTGTGACCCGTGTCCCCAGGCTGGAGAGCTGCGGTGTGACATCAGACAACTGCCGGGACCTGTGCGGCATTGTGGCCTCCAAGGCCTCGCTGCGGGAGCTGGCCCTGGGCAGCAACAAGCTGGGTGATGTGGGCATGGCGGAGCTGTGCCCAGGGCTGCTCCACCCCAGCTCCAGGCTCAGGACCCTGTGGTGAGTCATCTCCGCGAGGCCTCCTTCCCGGAGGGTCGGGCGGCGGGCCGTCCTCAGAGCTCTCCCCCGCCCCTGGGCTCATCTCAGGCCATGAGACGGTGCTGAGGAAAGTCTGTGGTGGTCCATGTCCTGCAGGATCTGGGAGTGTGGCATCACTGCCAAGGGCTGCGGGGATCTGTGCCGTGTCCTCAGGGCCAAGGAGAGCCTGAAGGAGCTCAGCCTGGCCGGCAACGAGCTGGGGGATGAGGGTGCCCGACTGCTGTGTGAGACCCTGCTGGAACCTGGCTGCCAGCTGGAGTCGCTGTGGTGAGTGTGGCTGTCGGGGCAGGGCCCTGTCGCCCAAGAGAGGGCCAGGGTGACCGAGGAGACCAGGGGAGGAGTGAGCGACTCCAGGGAAGCTGCTGGGCTCAGCTCCGACCTTCAGAATGCATAGGCCAGGGAGCAGCCTGTGGTTTGATGGGAACAGTGCTTGGGGCCAAGGACCAGGTGTAGGTGCCCACTTGCTGGGAGGCTGTCAGATGTTTTTGCTCAGGTCCACGTGGGGCCTTCAGGGGAAGGGCCAGTCGCAGCTGTGGGCCAGCCTGGGCCCCTGCCAGGCGTCAGTCCTGTCTGTGTCCACAGGGTGAAGTCCTGCAGCTTCACAGCCGCCTGCTGCTCCCACTTCAGCTCAGTGCTGGCCCAGAACAGGTTTCTCCTGGAGCTACAGATAAGCAACAACAGGCTGGAGGATGCGGGCGTGCGGGAGCTGTGCCAGGGCCTGGGCCAGCCTGGCTCTGTGCTGCGGGTGCTCTGGTGAGTGTGTGAGGGACACGAGTATGCACATTTGGGAGATCATATGCCCGTGTGTGCACACAAGGGCGAGAGTGCACGAGTATCTGTGTGAGCACGAGTGTCCGTGTGTATGTGAGCACACATGGGTGAGGCGAGTGTGAGCACGTGTGTGAGCATATGAGTGTGAGCATGGGTGTCCGTGAGCATGTGAGAGTGAGCACGTGTCCGTGTGAGCACGTGAGTGAGCACGAGGGTCCGTGTGTGAGCACATGGGCAAGAATGAGCACGAGTGTCCGTGTGTGAGCACATGGGTGAGCACGTGTGTGTGAGCACATGGGTGAGAGCACGAGTGTCCGTGTGTGAGCACGTGAGAGTGAGCACGAGGGTCAGTGTGTGAGCACATGGGCAAGAATGAGCACGTGTCCGTGTGTGAGCACGTGAGAGTGAGCACGAGGGTCCGTGTGTGAGCACATGGGCAAGAATGAGCACGAGTGTCCGTGTGAGTGTGAGCACATGGGCGAGAGGGAGCACGAGTGTGTGTGAGCACATGGGCGAGAGAGCATGAGTGTCCGTGTGTGAGCACATGGGTGAGAGCACGAGTGTCCGAGTGTGAGCACATGGGTGAGTGAGCATGAGTGTCCGTGTGTGAGCACGTGAGAGTGAGCACGAGGGTCCGTGTGTGAGCACATGGGCAAGAATGAGCACGAGTGTCCGTGTGTGAGCACATGGGCGAGAGTGAGCATGAGTGTCCGTGTGTGAGCACATGGGCGAGAGTACGTGAGCACATGGGTGAGAGTGAGCACGAGTGTCCGTGTGTGAGCACATGGGTGAGAGTGAGCATGAGTGTCCATGTGAGTGTGAGCACATGGGCGAGTGAGCACGTGAGTGTGGCACATGGGCGAGAGTGAGCACGAGTGTCCATGTGAGTGTGAGCACATGGGCGAGAGTGAGGGTGCATGTTCATGTACTGGGAAAGGCGGGCTGGCGGCACCACTCTGGCTTAGTTCTCATTTTAACTCTGAAAGTCAGAGGTCATGTTTCATGAAGCCTGAGAGCTTCACGGAGCTCCAGCCTACCTGGCCACCCTGTGGTCCATCTTCCTGGAAGCCCCGCCCACCTTTCTCCCTTGCGGGAACCCCGCCTGTGTCAGGATGTTTTTCCAGATTTGTTTTCTTTGTTAAAGCACGTTCTTTTGCAGCTTTCTAAGAAAAGGTTTTGCAGGAGGTAATTTTTGGGGTCTTGTGCCCCTGTTCTGTCCTTGGATCATTTAGCCGGGTATAGCATGCACCATTATGCCCGGCTAATTTTATTTTGTTTGTTTTTTTGAGAGAGTCTTGCTCTGTCGCCCAGGCTGGAGTGCAGTGGTGCGATCTTGGCTCACTGCAAGCTCCGCCTCCCAAGTTCATGCCATTCTCCTGTCTCAACCTCCCGAGTAGCTGGGACCACAGGCGCCCGTCACCACACCAGGCTAATTTTTTGTACTTTTAGTAGAGATGGGGTTTCACCGTGTTAGCCAGTATGGTCTTGATATCCTGACCTCGTGATCCGCCTGCCTCGGCCTCCTAAATTGCTGGGATTACAGGCGTGAGCCACCACGCCTGGCCTAATTTTTGTATTTTTAGTAGAGATGGGGTTTCACCATGTTGGGCAGGCTGGTCTTGAACTATTGACCTCAAGTGATGAGCCTGCCTCAGCCTCCCAAAGTGCTGCGATTACAGGCGTGAGCCACTGTGACCTTGTGTGCACGATCTGCTTTTTCTCGTTGGCAGCTTTTCAAGCTCTCTTTGTTCACTGTGTTAGGGGTTCCATGTGCTTGGCCTTGATGGGGGTCTTGGTTCTTTGTGCTGGATACTTGGTTCTACTAAGAAAATATACCTTTGGTGATTTTTTTCTCTCTCCTTTCTTATGTTTCTTTTTTGGTGTGCCCATGAGCCTGTCCTGATGTCTTGTGGAGTGACCCTCTAATTATGTTCTCCAAATTTTCTTTTCGATGTTTTGTTTTATTTTTGGGAGATGTTCTCATTTACCAGCCAGTCTACTGAATTTCCACCCTCAGTGTTTTGTCTTTTGTTTGCTGTTTCCCGTGTGCCTCTCGCCAGGGGCTTTCCGTGGGTGGCTGGTCATCCTGGGCTGGGCACCAGGTGCAGAGTGAGGCCCGGGAGCCCTGGACAGTGAGCCCTGCAGGCCGAGTCATGGCTGCGTTTCTCGAGGGCTTCCTCCTGATGGGGGATTTTCAGTTCCCTGCCAGGGGACACCATCCTGGCTGCCAGGACCTTGTGGGTGTTCCAGATGTGGAGAGGAACCTTGGGTCCTGGTCACTGCAGACTTGTTCCCCCTGAGCCACTCACAGGGTGGGGGTCCTGCAGCTTCCCTGGCCCCCACCTTGGAGAGGTCCAGTGCAACTCCTTGGCCCTGCTGTCCGGCCTGTGGCGGCTCCACCCCGGGAAGTGGGTGTTGGGTCTTCTCTATCCCATCCTCTTTTGTCTGACCCGTTCTCTTGTCTCTCTCTGGAGCCTAAAGTCTGTTGTCCACTCTGTTCTTGTCTTGGTACCCTCCATACCCTCGTTTCCCCACAGCTGCTCCTCAGTCTCTGGCTGGCTTCTCCTTTGAAGCCCACGCAGCCAGACGGTGTCGAGGTGACAAGGGGGTGGGTGTGGCTCTCTGGGTGGACGACATCTCTCTCCTGTCCTTTCTCCTCCCTGCAGAAGATCTCAGGCGAGTGAGGCTGCTTGTGCCTCGCTTGTCTGTGCCTTCCTTGTCCGTGGTGGGGAACCTGCCCAGGGCCACAGGGACGGTGAGCCTTGGGGACGGCCCCACCTGAGGGTCCTGAGTTGCCGAGCACAGGTGTCCGTCGCGCCCCCCAGGCCCAGGCCTGCTCTGCCGGTCAGTGCGGTGCCAGGCACGCCCGGCACCCTGACCCCCGCCCTGCTTCACCCAGGTTGGCCGACTGCGATGTGAGTGACAGCAGCTGCAGCAGCCTCGCCGCAACCCTGTTGGCCAACCACAGCCTGCGTGAGCTGGACCTCAGCAACAACTGCCTGGGGGACGCCGGCATCCTGCAGCTGGTGGAGAGCGTCCGGCAGCCGGGCTGCCTCCTGGAGCAGCTGGTGTATGTGCACGCGCTGGGCGGGTGGTGCGGCCAGGGCTGCCCAGGGAGGAAGGCGGGGGTGGGGGAGGACACGGGCCCATGCCTCCCTTCTGGCCTGTGTGCAGCCTGTACGACATTTACTGGTCTGAGGAGATGGAGGACCGGCTGCAGGCCCTGGAGAAGGACAAGCCATCCCTGAGGGTCATCTCCTGAGGCTCTTCCTGCTGCTGCTCTCCCTGGACGACCGGCCTCGAGGCAACCCTGGGGCCCACCAGCCCCTGCCATGCTCTCACCCTGCATATCCTAGGTTTGAAGAGAAACGCTCAGATCCGCTTATTTCTGCCAGTATATTTTGGACACTTTATAATCATTAAAGCACTTTCTTGGCAGGAGAGGCTCTTGTCCTTCCTGGGGTCCTTGCGAGGCGCTGGCATTGGAGACGACACCACCCCACTTGGCTTCTCTCCCTGCCTAAGGGACCCCGCACCAGGGAAGCAGCCCAAGGCCCTGGCTGTGCTCAGCTGGGTCCCCTGAGCTGCACCCACCCACACTGGGGAGCACAGGGCAGGCCCTGCCCAGGGTGGAGGGATGCCCCTTGGCTCTGTTGCCCGTGCAGGGTGACGCCTGCTGGGAGCTGCCTGCAGGCCCAGCTGCTCCCGCAGCTTCCACCCCGGAGCCTCAGGAGCCCCCAGCACTGCCCTGACTGCCCCCCAGCCCAGCCCAGCCCAGCCCAGCCCAGCCCAGCCCAGCCCAGCGCGGCCCAGCGCGGCCCGGGTTCCTGCCCGGAGCCCAGTGCTCGCCCCAGCTCTGTGTGGGATGATGGGGCAGCCCATCTTGCCCACGGGTGGACAGCTGACCAAGGTGGGCCAGCCCGGGGTGCCCTGCCCTGCCAAGCCAAGAGGGGGACGCTCACCAGCTTTCAAAGGTCCGATGCTGAGTCAGCAACTACAAGTTCATTGCAAAGAAGCTGCCTGGCAATCCCCCTCTTTTGGACAGGGTCTCTCTCTTGCCCAGGCTGGAGTGCAGTGGCGCAATCTTGGCTCACTACAGCCTGGACCTCTGGGACTCAAACCGTCCTCCCACCTCAGCCTCCCAGGTAGCTAGGACTACAGGCATGCACCACCACACCTGGCTAATTTTTGTACTTTTTGTAGGGACAGGGTCTTGCCATGTTGCCGAGGCTGGTGTTTGGTCTTGGCCTCCCAAAGTGCGGGTATTACAGGTGTGAGCCATTGCACCTGGCTATAAAGCCCTTTAAAGTGACCCAGGGGCTGGGCGCGGTGGCTCATGCCTGTAATCCCAGCACTTTGGGAAGCTGAGGTGGGCGGATCACTTGAGGTCAGGAGTTGGAGACCAGCCTGGCCAACACGGTGAAAACCCATCTATACTAAAAATACAAAAATTAGCTGGGTATGGTGGCGCATGCCTGTAATCCCAGGTACTCGGGAGGCTGAGGCATGAGAATCGCTTGAACCTGGGAGGTGGAGGTTGCAGTGAGCTGAGCTCACGCCAGTGTACTCCAACCAGGGCGACAGAGTGAGACTCCGTCTCAAAAATAAATAAGTAAAATAAAGTGACCCAGGATCTTAGTTTCTTAACTATGACCTCCAGTGGGGAACAGAGCTCCTTGGGGAAATGGGTGACGCCAGGCCTGGGGCGAGAGATGCCCAAGGTGAGTCCGGAGCATCTCAGCGCGTGAGGAACCAGAGCCCCTGGGCGCTGTCTGGGGTTGAGTTGCTGCCGGAAGGGCTCCCAGGGGCTGCCTTTGGGACACGGGCGCCGGAACACAGGACTTTAATCACAAGCCCTGCCTCGCCCTCCTCGGGAAGAGCAGATGGAGACCGTGAGCGGGGCGCCACCCCCACCTGCTACCACCTGGCTCAGAGCATCAGCGGGGATGGACAGCGTGGGTGGAGTGACAGGACCCGCAGCGCGTGAGGGGGGGAGTGGGGGCCCCTGCAGTGGGGAGATCAGGTGGCAGTTCCTCCTGAGCGATCAAAGCTGCCACCTGCAAAGAGCAGAATGCTAAGGCCCCATGTGTCCTGCAGCACGCAGGGCAGGGCAGCTGGAAGAACTCATCCGTGCAGGGCCACGGAGGCCAAAGCTGTGAGTGGCCGTGACTGGAAAGAGGACTGCTAGGCGCGGTGGCCACACCGGACGTCTTCCTGCTGAGCCCCAGAGGCTGCTCTTGTGTGTGCTCCACATTACAGCCCTTGACTTAGAGGGCTTGAAATTTTCCCCAAAAGTAGTCAAGGAAAAATACTAAAAGTAAAGCTTTTTGACGCCCGGGGCCCCGAGGCAGACCCGGGGGTGTGGGTGCAAATGGCTCCCGGAGTCCCCCCAGGCTGTGTCCAATCAGCCATCAACACCCCTTACTACCCCCTCCAGCTAGGAACAGGGCTCAGGGAACCCCTTTTCTCTCCATTTGTGTTTGAAAATTTTCATGGTAAAGTTTTAGAAATAGTGGCCTGGCTGGGCGCGGTGGCTCACGCCTGTAATCCCAGCACTTCGGGAGGCCAAGGCGGGTGGATCACCTGAGGTTGGGAGTTCAAGACCAGCCTGGCCAACATGGTGAAACCCCATCTGTACTAAAAGTACTAAAATTAGCCGGGCATGGTGGCATGCGCCTGTAATCCCAGCTACTTGGGAGGCTGAGGCAGAATTACTTGAACCTAGGAGGCAGAGGTTGCAGTGAGCCAAGATCACGCCACTGCACTCCAGCCTGGCTGACAGAGTGAGACTCCATCTCAAAAAAATAGTGGCTCAAGCTGGGCATGGTGGCTCACGCCTGTAATCCCAGCTCTCAGGGAGGCAGAGGCAGGAGGATCACTTGAACCCAGGAGTTCGAGATCTGCCTGGGCAATATAGCGAGACCCCGTTCTCCACAAAAAGGAAGGAAAGAAAAAGAAAAAAAAACATAAAAATAGTGGCCCGAGAAGGCGGCTGCCCCTCCCCAGGAATCCTGTGTCCACTGCCCAGTGTCTGCCAGCCTGGGACAAACACAGCACCCCAGGAATCCTGTGTCCACTGCCCAGTGTCTGCCAGCCTGGGACAAACACAGCACCCCAGGAATCCTGTGTCCACTGCCCAGTGTCTGCCAGCCTGGGACAAACACAGCACCCCAGGAATCCTGTGTCCACTGCCCAGTGTCTGCCAGCCTGGGACAAACACAGCACCCCAGGAATCCTGTGTCCACTGCCCAGTGTCTGCCAGCCTGGGACAAACACAGTACCCCAGGAATCCTGTGTCCACTGCCCAGTGGCCGCCAGCCCTTGGACAAGCGCAGCAGAGGGTGGGTGCCACCTGGACCCTCCTGGAGAATGGGAGAGGGGCTGCATCTGGCACCTGCTCTCTCTGGGGGGTGGGGCGGGGCAGGCGCCAAGTCTTTGCTCAGGTGCAGAGGCTGAGTGCCTCCTGTCCTCTGTGTGGTTTTCCCCAAGTGGGCACTGGGCATGAGGGCAGGCTGGAGGGCTGCACTGGACCCCAAAGCAGGACACGGGGAGCTGGGGGGAGGGCTGGAAGCCTCAGACGTTCGTTGTCACTTTATTGGTTCTCTTTGCTCGTGAAGATGACCCTCACCTTGGAGCCACGGAGGCAGCATGACCCCAGCACCCGGGTTCCAGGCCCCCTTGAGGGGCAGCTCAGTGATCTCTGACCCCATCATCCACGTGTCCTCCGGGGTGGTCTGTGTGAAAGGAAGGCTCGGAGGAGGTGGCTCAGCATCGCTGCCTGGATCCGCTGCCTCTCAGCCACGGAGTGTTTGTGGACGAGCGCCCACACGAGCTGCGGGGGAAGTGGATGTGGAGCCAGTGTAGACGCCTCCAGGCCTCAGCGCACCCAGGGCCCACGGAGTGCAGAAAGGGTACCGAGATGTCCCTGCCTGGACCACACCATGGCTGGGTGACAGGGAGCTTGGTGGGCCAGAGGCCACGGGGCTGACCAGGCAGAAAGGGGAGGGAGGACCCTGGTTCCTGAGGGACACACTGCCCCAGAGCATGCCCTTGCCACGCCAGCCAGCTCCCAGCTCTGGAGAAGCCTCGGAGCCCAGAGCACACGTGCACACCACAGGCGGCCACGCATGTGTACACACGCGCGTACACACGCGTACACACACGCATACACACGTACACACGTGTACACATGGAGATGAGGCTGTGCTGGGGCCTCCTCCACCCCTCGCCTTCAGCCTCGCCAGGTGCACAGGAGAAAAGCAAAAAACCTTGAGGGCAAGGCCGGGCACGTGGCTCCTGGTGGGACTCACACAGGAGGAGGCCACGGAGGCCTGGGCTCTGGGAGGCTCACGAGGCAGCCACGGCCCAGGTCAGTTTGGAGTTGGTGCTCCCTCGCCCTCGGCCACCCCAGGCCCCAGCAGGTCTTCGTCCAGCCCCAGTGGGTGCTGGTCCCCGTTGCCGACGGTGCTGCCCTGGTCATCCTTGTTCTGCCACTTCTGCCACCGGGTCTCCTTGTACCTCAATGTGATGTCCCTGGGGAGCGGGATGCAGCGTCACCACCTGCCCCCACACCAGCCCCACTGCAGGCCCCATGGACAGCTGGCACCTAGTCCCTGTGGAGGTCCGGAATGGACTGGGTGGGTGCCGGGTACCCTGGCCCTGGGACGGCAGCCGTGGCAGACTGGAGCCCTGAGGAGCCTGGATCTGTCAGTGCAGAGCGAAGGCCCCGAGGGCTGGGTCAGGAAAGGCGCCTCCCGCAGAGGCGGCCAGAGGGTTGAAGCAGGGACAGTGAGACACCAACGACACCAAACTCCCACAGTGCCTGTGCCAAGGGACCCGGACAGCGGCCCTCCTTCAGAACATACGCGCCCTGCCCTGACTCACCGCAGGAAGAAGCGCCAGACGGTCCAGGTGAGCGCCAGGACGGAGCCGAGGGTCCAGCACTGGGAGATGTAGAAGGGCAGGGACAGGGTGAGCGTGTGGGGGTCGTACTTCACCACGATGAGCAGCTCCGTGGCCGTGATGGCCGCCACCAGCCAGGCCTGCGGGCCCAGCTTCTTGTGGGGCTTCCTGCAGGGGCAGCAGGGGGTTCAGCGTCCCGGGCCCCGCAGGGTCCTCCAGGCGGACTTGCCCAGGCTCCGGCCTCCCAGGCTCTGCTCCCCAGCCCTCCGGCCCCTGCCCCCCGGGGGTGTCTCCACCCGGACTGCCGCAGCCCTCACGGGTCATCCATGAAGTCGTAGATCTCACGCATGGCCACGCCACCCACGTTCACGAAGAAGACGAGCCGCAGGAGGACCAGGTAGTGCTCCGGGGGCATCCACAGCACAAACTTCAGGTAGAACGTGTTCAGTTCTGCCAACAGGAACTAGGGGAGGAGAGGGTGAGCACCAGCTCTGGCCCCCCGCCCGCCGCGCCGTCGCGAGGCAGCCCGGCCTTACCACCAGGATGATGCCGCACACGGCCAGCCAGCGACGCAGGCTGGAGGCCGGCTTCCACTCGAAGCGAACCCAGCTGTACGGCGTGAACTGGAAGGCGATCCTCTTCATCTTGCCCCTGGGAACCACAGAGCCGGCAGCCTGAGGAAGGCAGCCCACCGAACCCTGCCCTGTGCCATCGGGCAACAGACTGTTCCTGGTCACCCGGCCCCGCCCTGTGCCATCGGACGAGCTCTGCTCTTGGTCACCCCGCCCCGCCCTGTGCCATCGGGCCACAGACTCTGTTCCTGGTTACCCAGCTGCTGCCCGGCTGTTCTCCGAGGTCTGGCCACCCAGCTACAAGCCCTGCTTCTCCACGGCCCTCTGCTGTTCAGTCTCTTCCAGCTTGAGCAGTGGCTGCAGCGCCTCAGAGGGCGCTCCACGGTGCCGTGAGCTAGCCATGTCTGCAGAGCCAGGCAGAGCCGGGGCACCCACAGGCAGGAGGGGAGACCCCCGTCCCCCAGGCCTTTCCTTAGACTTCTGTTTCTTTTTTAAATTCCAAAGTCATAATGACAAAGTACCTGCAACTATTTCATAACCAAAGCAACCAAGGGAGGGAGAAGCACGGAATGATCCCACAGCCCCTGCGCCAGGCCGGCCAGGGATTGAGGAGGGAGGTACGTGGGTCAGACGCCATGGCCACTGTGAGGGGCGGCCGGGCTTGAGTGACACCAGGTCAGAGGGAGGTTCCAGGAGGCAAAGCCCCACGGTCACCCCTCCTGAGCCGCACACTGGACGGGCCTGGTGCTCGGGGTCTGCTGGAGCACGGACGCTGAGGCTGCCTCCAGGTAACCCCCACCCGGCCCTGCCCTCGCAGCCCCCACGACGTACTTGTAGGTCGGAAT
Organism: Homo sapiens; assembly: GCF_000001405.40. Lineage (NCBI taxonomy): Eukaryota > Metazoa > Chordata > Mammalia > Primates > Hominidae > Homo > Homo sapiens. Next base: position 18,274 of record NT_187586.1, on the reverse strand, counting down.
GTTCCAGAGGCCCTGCCACTTGTACGTCTTCAGGGACAGCCACTCAAGGGTCTTCATGCCGCAGTAGATGCCCAGCCCGTTGCAGACGAGCACGTCCATGATCCACTGCAGGGAGGGGCCAGCACTCGTTGCAGGGGTGAGGGGTAACGAGCCCCCCGAGGAGGACCCCGGAAGAGCACAGGGGAACCGAGAATGCCCCTCAGCCTGCACCCACTGCCCCCCGGGGAGAATGAGGGGGTCCAGGGGCCGCGCTGGGCACAGGGGTTCCGAGAATGCCCCTCAGCCTGCACCGACTGCCCCGGGGGCTGTGCTGGCACCTACGTGATCCCACCAGCACTCGCTGAAGTTGGGCAGCTGGTGCTCCAGGCTGTACTCCAGGAACTCGAACATCACGCTGATGATCATGCACATCCACCAGTCTCGGATCATCAGGGTCTGTGGGCGCCAGGGTCAGCCAGAGTATGGGACGCCGGCCACACCCGGCCCTGCCCACGGGTGCGTGCAGCCCCCACCCCGGCTGGCAGCCAGAGTATGGGACGCCGGCCACGCCCGGCCCTGCCCACGGGTGCGTGCAGCCCCCACCCGGCTGGCAGCCAGAGTATGGGACGCAGGCCACGCCCGGCCCTGCCCACGGGTGCGTGCAGCCCCCACCCCGGCTGGCAGCATTCTTGGAGTCGACAGCACTGGCAGGGCCCCCAGTGAGGTCTCAGGGTGAGCGTGGGGTGGGTGGCTGCCCCTCCAGCAGCCTCGATGTACGACTGTCAGCAAACAAGGCAGCATCCCCGTGCCCGGGGCCTGACACCAAACTCTGCCAGGGTGGGCTGCAGGGTCAAGCAGGCACTGCTCTTAGCCCCATAGGTAGCACAGGGTCCCTCAGAAGTGGGATGGGGCAGTGCCCAAGCCCAGGCAGGGGCGGGACTTCCTGCCCTGCCGCCTCTTTCCACCGCCCCGACCCTGAGGACGGAGCGGGGACCCGACCAGGATCAGGGCTTCTGGGAGGTCCGGGAGCCCCACGGCTTCTCGAACCTCTGGGTGGCTGCAGTGCGACACCCTCCCACCACACTCAGAGCACCCTGAGCTCAACTCCATGGACAGAAACGGTCCAGAGCCCACGGCAGGCCTCAGAACCGGGGCGGGGAGGCCGGGAAGAGGAGGTGCCGTACCTTCAGGTACCAGCCAAGAAAGTGCGCGGGAACAAAGCCATCCAACTTGTCCTGTGGGCGACAGGGTATGACCCTTGACCCTGGGGCACAGCCACCCCCACTCCCCACACCGGCAGATCAGCCCACACCTGAGCAGCACCTGCCAGACCCCGGGAAGAAGGCCAGGGACTCACAGGTGCTGCCGTGGCCTGTGGAGACCACGTCCACGACAGCCTAGAGAGCAGGGGCCCCCTGCCCACCATGAGCACCATCCAGACGGACAGGGCCTCAGCACATCTCTGCACCAGGAGACCCCAAGTGTGGGCTGAGGGGTGCGAGGCAGGAGCGTGGATGGCGCCTGGTCCGGCACGGGGCCACACCTGGGGAGGGGCTCGCCTCAGGGCCCCCGGCGTCTTACCCAGATGTTGTGAAAGGGGTCAGTCTCATTGTCTGGGTCGTAGATGAGGCAGTTTCCCCCGTAGTCTCTCTCTGGCAGTGGGACTCCCAGCTTGGGGTCAACATACTTTAGAAACTGCCGGCCGTCCTGGACAGTCTGCAAGGCCAGTGCCCCCGTCAGCGGGGCTACAGTTAGTGGTGGCAACTTGAAACGGGAGATCATGGTTGTTTATTTATTTTATTTTTTTGAGATGGAGTCTCGCTCTGTCGCCCAGGCTGGAATGCAGTGGCGTGAACTGGGCTCACTGCAAGCTCCGCCTCCTGGGTTCACGCCATTCTCCTGCCTCAGCCTCCCGAGTAGCTGGGACTACAGGCGCCCGCCACCACGCCCGGCTAGTATTTTTTTTTTGTATTTTTAGTAGAGACGGGGTTTCACCGTGCTAGCCAGGATGGTCTTGATCTCCTGACCTCGTGATCCGCCCACTTCGGCCTCCCAAAGAGCTGGGATTACAGCCGTGAGCCACCACGCCCGGCCAGGAGATCATGGTTGTAAACTGCATCTCAGTCACCCTGGAGGAGGGCAGCGCCCTGTCTCAGCAGCCCTCCCCACCCCAGGGAAATCCTGGTGGGGCAGCGCGTGGGGAAGGAACCCCCAGGCACGACACCCCATCTCCACACCTGCGCTCCCCGGGGCCAGGTGGGCACAGGTGCGCTTCAGGACATGGGGGTCTAGGACCGCTGGACAGACGGGAGCGGGATGGGGCCCTGAGTTACTGCGGCGCGCCGCCCCCACCCCGACCCCTCCCCGCATGCGCGCTCAGGCCAACACCCTCACAGGAGTCGCCCTTGTGGAACCTGCTCTTTCCTCACCCAGACGCTGGCATCAGCCAGATACACCTCTTGACCTTAGGGCAAGGCAGGCTTTTGGGCCTGACGTCAAGGGAGGTTTACATCATTTACAGACACCTGTGCTCACAGCACACACGCACCAGGGCACCAGCTGTGTTTACACTCGCCTGCGCACACGGTGAACACACACGCCCGTGCACTGTTTACACTCGCCTGCGCACACGGTGAGCACGCGCGCCCGTGCACTGCTTACGCTCGCCTGCGCGCACGGTGAGCACACGCGCGCCCGTGCACTGTTTACGCTCGCCTGCGCGCACGGTGAGCACACGCGCGCCCGTGCACTGTTTACGCTCGCCTGCGCGCACGGTGAGCACACGCGCGCCCGTGCACTGTTTACGCTCGCCTGCGCGCACGGTGAGCACACGCGCGCCCGTGCACTGTTTACGCTCGCCTGCGCGCACGGTGAGCACACGCGCGCCCGTGCACTGTTTACGCTCGCCTGCGCAGTGAGCACACGCGCCCGTGCAGTTTACACTCGCCTGCGCAGTGAGCACACACGCGCCCGTGCGCTGTTTAAACTCGCCTGCGCACAGTGAGCACACACGCGCCCGTGCACTGTTTACACTCGCCTGCGCAGTGAGCACACGCGCCCGTGCAGTTTACACGCCTGCGCACACGGTGAGCACACGCGCCCGTGCACTGTTTACACTCGCCTGCGCACACGGTGAGCACACGCGCCTGTGCAGTTTACACTCGCCTGCACAGTGAGCACACACACCCGTGCACTGTTTACACTCGCCTGCGCACACGGTGAGCACACACGCGTCCGTGCACTGTTTACGGTCGCCTGCACACACACAGCACACATGCCCATGCACTGTTTACAGACGCCTGCGCAGTGAGCACACACGCGCTCGTGCACTTACACTCGCCTGCGCACACAGTGAGCACACACGCGCCCGTGCACTGTTTAAACTCGCCTGCGCAGTGAGCACACACGCGCCCGTGCAGTTTACACTCGCCTGCGCACAGTGAGCACACACGCGCCTGTGCAGTTTACACTCGCCTGCGCAGTGAGCACACACGCCCGTGCACTTACACTCGCCTGCGCACACAGTGAGCACACGCGCCCGTGCACTGTTTACACTCGCCTGTGCACAGTAAGCACACGTGCCCGTGCAGTTTACACTCGCCTGCGCACACAGTGAGCACACACGCGCCCGTGCACTGTTTACGCTCGCCTGCGCAGTGAGCACACGTGCCCGTGCAGTTTACGCTCGCCTGCGCACACAGTGAGCACACACGCGCCCGTGCAGTTTACACTCGCCTGCGCAGTGAGCACACACACGCCCGTGCACTGTTTACAGACGCCTGCGCACAGTGAGCACACGCACCCGTGCACTGTTTACACTCGCCTGCGCACACGGTGAGCACACGCGCCCGTGCAGTTTACACTCGCCTGCGCACAGCACACACACCCGTGCACTTACACTCGCCTGCGCACACGGTGAGCACACGCATCCGTGCACTGTTTACGCTCGCCTGCACACACACAGCACACACGCCCGTGCAGTTTACAGACGCCTGTGCACACAGTGAGCACACATGCCCATGCACTGTTTACAGATGCCTGCGCAGTGAGCACACACGCCCATGCACTATTTACAGATGCCTGCGCAGTGAGCACACACGCGCCCGTGCACTGTTTACACTCTCCTGCGCACACAGCACACACGCACCCCTGCACTGGCTGTGTTTACAGACGCCTGCACACACAGTGAGTGCACACATGCCCGTCCTCTGTGAGCTATGGCACCCAGGACCACGCAGCCCACCCAACACCCAGGCCTCAGTTCCTAATATTCAGTAAGGACCCAAGGCTCTTGGAGAAGGGGCTGATTCCAGGACCAGGGTGGGGAGTGGACAGGAGGAGCCTGGAGCATCCCGCAGTGCTAGGAAGTCAGGATGTCCTCAGAAAAACAAAACGAAAAGCCAAGAACTCCGTGAGGGTGTGTGAAAGCAATACAGGAACCACGTGGAAATTCCTTTTGGCAAAAGAATTTGGGCACCACGATAAATAGAGCAGCGCTGAAATAAATATGCAAGTGTAAGACAAGTATCTGTACGTCCACACTGATATAAATAAATACATGATGGAATAACTAATGGTAGAGAAGCAGGATCTCTCCCATGCACAAGAATTCCTGGCAACGTGCAGACGCCACACACCAAGGGGGGCAACGAAACTCCCCTCCCTCCATGCAGGCTGCACCAGTGACCTCCTTGTGGAGAATGCACTATGGATTGACAGTGGAAAGCCTGACAGACACATCTCGCCAGGCAGTCAAGGTCCACAGCGCCAGGGATACGTCATGGTGATGGTGCCAGTGCGCGCCTTCACCCCAGACAAATACTGAGAAAACGTCAGACATCCTCACAAACCCTGGTGCCAAAGCCAGAACAAGACATTCCAGGAAAATTAAAGGACAGTACCTCTTACAAATATGGATGCAAAAATCTTAGATAAAATGCTAGGAAAGCAAGTCCAGCAGTATGTAAAAAGGCACACCCTGGGACCCAGCAGGATTTATCCCAGGAATGTAAGGTTGGTTCAGGATAAGAAAATCAATCAATGTAATTCATCATATTAACAAAGGGGGAAAAACACCCATATGATCATCTCACTTGATGCGAAAAATCATTTAACAAAAATCTAACAACTTTTCATGATAAAAACACTCAACCAACTAGGAATATACTAGAACTTTCTCCACTCAGTAAGGGAGATCTACGAAAAACTCACAGAACCTTCTCCCCTCAGTAGGGAGATCTACGAAAAACTCACAGAACCTTCTCCACTCGGTAGGGAGATCTACGAAAAACTCACAGAACTTTCTGCACTCGGTAGGGAGATCTACGAAAAACTCACAGAACCTTCTCCACTCGGTAGGGAGATCTACGAAAAACTCACAGAACCTTCTCCACTCGGTAGGGAGATCTACGAAAAACTCACAGAACCTTCTCCACTCGGTAGGGAGATCTACGAAAAACTCACAGAACCTTCTCCACTCGGTAGGGAGATCTACGAAAAACTCACAGAACCTTCTCCACTCGGTAGGGAGATCTACGAAAAACTCACAGAACCTTCTCCACTCGGTAGGGAGATCTACGAAAAACTCACAGAACCTTCTCCACTCGGTAGGGAGATCTACGAAAAACTCACAGAACCTTCTCCACTCGGTAGGGAGATCTACGAAAAACTCACAGAACTTTCTGCACTCGGTAGGGAGATCTACGAAAAACTCACAGAACCTTCTCCACTCGGTAGGGAGATCTACGAAAAACTCACAGAACTTTCTGCACTCGGTAGGGAGATCTACGAAAAACTCACAGAAACTTCTCCACTCGGTAGGGAGATCTACGAAAAACTCACAGAACCTTCTCCACTCGGTAGGGAGATCTACGAAAAACTCACAGAACTTTCTGCACTCGGTAGGGAGATCTACAAAAAACTCACAGAACTTTCTCCACTCGGTAAGGAGATCTATGAAAAACTCACAGCTAACACACTCAGTGGGATAAAGACTGGATGCTTTTCCCCTAAGATCAGGAATCAGATAAGAATGTCCATCTGGCCAGGCACAGTGGCTCATGCTTATACTCCCAGCACTTTGGGAGGCCAAAGGGGTCAGACCGCTTGAGCTCAGGAGTTTGAGACCAGCCTGGCCAACATGGCGAAACCTCATCTCCACAGAAAGTTAAAAAATTAGTCAGGTGCGGTGGCTCACTTGAGACCAGGAGTTCTGAGACCAGCCTGGCCAACACGGTGAAACCCCGACTCTACTAAAAATACAAAATTAGTCGGGTGTGGTAGCATGTTCCTGTAATCCCAGCTACTACGGAGGGTGAGGCACGAGAATCGCTAGAACCTGGGAGGCGGAGCTTGCAGTAAGCCAAGATCGTGCCACTGCACTCCAGCCTGGGCGACAGAGCAAGACTCCGTCTCAAAAAAAAAAAAAAAAAGCCCATCCTTGCCTATTCTAGGAAACATTGAGCTGGAGGTTCTGGGCAGGGCAGCTACGCAAAGAAGTAAAAGACATCGGCCGGGCACGGTGGCTCATGCCCATAATCCCAGCACTTTGGGAGGCCAAGGTGGGCGGATCACCTGAGGTCAGGAGTTCAAGACCAGCCTCAACATGGAGAAACCCTGTCTCTACTAAAAATTAAAAAAAAAAAATTAGCTGGGCATGGTGGTGCATGCCTGTAATCCCAGCTACTCGGGAGGCTGAGGCAGGGGAATTGCTTGAACCTGGGAGGCGGAGGTTGCGGTGAGCCAAGATCACACCACTGCACTCCAGCCTGGGCAACAAGAGCAAAACTCAGTCTAAAAAAAAAAAAAAGAAAAGAAATAAAAGACATCTAGATTGGAAAGGAACAGGTAAAACTATCTCTATTTGTAGATGACATAATCTTGAATATAGAATATTCTTAAGAGTCTACCCCAAAACACCACAACTATTAGAGCTAATCAGTTCAGCACGGTTGCAGGACGCAAGATCAGTACACAAAAATGAGCTACATTTCCATACATGAGTAACGAGCAATGCAAAAGTAAAATTAAAACAGTTCCACTTACAAGAGCACACAATGAACAAAATAATTGGAGTAAATGTAATAAAGGAAGTACAAAACTTAAACTCTGAAAACTGTAACACATTGTTGGAAGAAATTAAAGACCTAAATAAATGGAAAGCCATCCCATCTTCAAGGACTGACGGAGTTAATATTGTCAGGATGACACTACTCCCAAAACAGACTTGCAGATTCGATGCAATCCCCATAAAAAATTCCACCTGTTCTTTTCACAGGAATGGAAAGGGTGACCCTCACATTCATTTGGAAACGCAAGAGACCCAGATGATTCAAAACCATCTTGAAAAAGAACAAACTGGGTGAACTCACACTTCCCAATTGCAAATGTCACTTGAGGGATATTCTACTAGATCATGACCAATCCTCGAAACCGTCCAGCTCACCAAAAACAAGGGGCCTGAGAAACTGTCACTGCCGAGAAAGAGGAGCCCAGGCCGCGCGTGGTGGCTCACACCTGGAATCCCCGCACTTTGGGAGGCCAAGGCAGGCAGATCTTTTTTTTTTTTTTTTGAGGCGGAGTCTCGCTCTGTTGCCCAGGCTGGAGTGCAGTGGCGTGATCTCGGCTCACTGCAAGCTCTGCCTCCCGGGTTCAGGCCATTCACTTGCCTCAGCCTCCCGAGCAGCTGGGACTACAGGCGCCCGCGACCACGCCCGGCTAATTTTTTAGTATTTTTCAGTAGAGACGGGGTTTCACCGTGTTAGCCAGGATGGTCTCCATCTCCTGACCTTGTGATCCGCCCACCTCAGCCTCCCAAAGTGCTGGGTTTACAGGCATGAGCCACCGTGCCCTGTCAATGCAGGCGGATCATTTGAGGTCAGGAGTTCAAGACCAGCCTGGCCAACAAGATGAAACTAAAAATACAATAAATTAGTGGCGCATGGTGGCAGGTGCCTGTAATCCCAGCTACTTGGGAGGCTGAGGCAGGAGAATCACTTGAACCCGGGAGGTGGAGGCTACAGTGAGCTGAGATCACACCACTGCACTCCAGCCTGGGTGACAGAGTAAGACGTCGTCTCAAAAAATAAATAGTAAAAGAAAGAGGAGCGCAGGAAGACACATGCAACCTGGATGAACCTCAGAGGCACTGTGCAGGGCGGGAAGAGGCTGCCCACCGCATGATCCTGGGTGAACCTCAGAGGCACTGTGCAGGGCGGGAAGAGGCTGCCCACCGCATGATCCTGGGTGAACCTCAGAGGCACTGTGCAGGGCGGGAAGAGGCTGCCCACCGCATGATCCTGGGTGAACCTCAGAGGCACTGTGCAGGGCGGGAAGAGGCTGCCCACCGCATGATCCTGGGTGAACCTCAGAGGCACTGTGCAGGGCGGGAAGAGGCTGCACACCGCATGATCCTGGGTGAACCTCAGAGGCACTGTGCAGGGCGGGAAGAGGCTGCCCACCGCATGATCCTGGGTGAACCTCAGAGGCACTGTGCAGGGTGGGAAGAGGCTGCCCACCCCACGATTCCATTCTAGAAGAGACAGAAGCGAACCCTCACCAGCTGTCAGGGGTCAGGGCCGGGTATGACTACCAAGGGGTAACACAAAGGAGTTTTAGGGCCAGTGGAATTCTTGTGCGTCCTAATTGTGTTTCTAGAAGTCTACACAAATGCTAAAATTCACAGAATGTACACTGCCTCAGAAAAGTCAATTTTGCCACGATGATAAAAAATCTCATCATGCACTGATGGAGTTTTAAGATTGGGAATAATAAAGTCCTTTGTAAGCTGAAGACAGCCCCAAAAATGTGTGTTTACACTAAGTTAAACAGAACAAAGAGTATTAATAAAGTAGGCATTTGCAGCAGCAACACAGCCTGACCCAGGATTTACAAAGGAGCTGCGTCTCCCACCTGCACCCTGCTCGTCTTGCAGAATGTGGTCAGGATGGGGAAGAAGCACACACAGTCACACTGGTCAACCACAAAACACAAAAACAAAGACCCCGTCCCTCTTGGCGCTGGGGTCCCCTCTGAGGCCCAGATTTGCCCCGGCCATGCAGACGCTGGCCTGCATCGCAGGACCTGACTTGCGGCTCCCTTCACGCCCAGTCCCCACCAGCACTCAGATACGACAGCTGTGGGCAAAGCCACCCTGGCAGCTGCACCACTGGCCCTGCCCTCTTCTGTGCCTGCACCACTGGCCCTGCCCTCCTTAAGTGTGGCCCTGCTAAATGGCCACAGTCAGCGCCCCACCAGCAGATGCTCCTGGAGGCCCCCCGCAGCTCGGCCTACGTTTTGAAGGTCTAGCTTTGCTGCCCCCCATCACTCAAGGGCCGCACAGATGCTCCTGGAGACCCCCCGCAGCTCGGCCTACTTTGTGGGGGTCTAGCCCTGCTTCCTCCCATCACTCGAGGGCTGTGTGGGCAAGGCCTCCTTTGTCACCATGCCTGGGGCCACACTGTCACCTAAGTTCCCAGGTATCCAACCCAGAAAAACAGCTTACCTGGAAGAGTATAAAGATGAGAAACAGCTCGTAGACCACACTCACGCAGAGCCAAAACCTCCAGTAAGCTACAAAGACAGACGACAGAACGTTAGTGCGCCCGGTCCAGGCCTCCACGGCCCCGCTCAGCCCCAGGCCGGCTCCTGGCTCCTTCACACCCAGTGTCTCTTCTGGGCCCTTCACAGGCCCCTGGGAGAGCCTTTATAAAGAAAGCTGTAACTCAGAATTAGGCACAATTTCTCTCTGAAAAGTGAATTTTTTTTCTTCATTTTTTCCATTCCAGTACTCAAATCTTTTGCCCATAAATTGTTGCACAGAAGCAGTCAGCACACATCCCTGCCTTGTGTTTACGAGTGATGCTTCTAAACTTGCGCCGTTAAGTTTGGAGTAGGTTTTTGGTGGATACCTTTTTTTTTTAGATGGAGTCTGTCGCCCAGGCTGGAGTGCAGTGGTGCAATCTCAGCTCACTGCAACCTTCACCTCCAGGTTCAAGTGATTCTCCTGCCTCAGCCTCCCGAGTAGCTGGGCTCACAGGTGTCCAGCACACCCGGCTAATTTTTGTATTTTCAGTCGGGACAGGGTTTCACCATGTTGGCCAGGCTGGTCTCGAACTCCTGACCTCAGATGGTCCACCCGCCTCAGCCTCCCAAAGTGCTGGGATTACAGGTGTGAGCTACTGTGGCTGGCCACTTTTTTTTTTTGAGACAAGGTCCTGGCTCTGTTGCCCAGGCTGGAGTGCAATCTTGTTGCACTGCAACCTCTGCCTCCTGGGCTCAAGCAATCCTCCTACCTGAGCCTCCTGAGTAGCTGGGACCACAGGTACGTGCCACCACATCCAGCTAATTTTTGTATTTTTTTTTTTTTTGTAGAGATAGGGTTTCGACATGTTGCCCAGGCTAGGATACTTTTTATCATGTTAAAAAAATCTTTCAATTCCAGTATGTTAAGTTTTTGTCATGGATGAATGTGAATTTTTGTTTTTCTGCATTTAAGGGGATCAATTTTTTCATGTTGATGTGATGAGTTACATTAACAGACTTCTAACATGAAACCATCCCTCAATTCCTGACTTCCCACGGCTCCGAGCAGCTCACGGCAAGACGTGCAGACGTGAGGTTTTCGGACTAAACGCAGGAGGCCCCGACGTACTCAGGGGAAGACGGCCCCCGTGGCTCATGAAAAGCCGCCATCATTGGCAGGAAATACAAACGCCCTGGCGTTCTTAGGAAAAGCTGCACAGGGAGGTCTGGGACCCAAGACAGACGACTGAGATCACAAACTTCTTCCTCACGCCTTGGGATAAGAAGAACCTGGAAACTTCCCAGTGGCCCAAGAGTTTGAGGGGCTCGTGGTGAAATTAACTCGGGGCAGCCCTCGCCCCACAAGGGCTCGCCAACTGAAGGGGACGCCTTCGGAGCAGGTGCCCGGCCTGCAGGCGCTCTCTGAGGGGACAGCTACACCCATGAAACCATCATGTTCTGAGCGGGCCACAGGTCACCACGACCAGTACTAACTTCCCTCCCCGCACTGCCAAGTCGAATCTTTCTCATGTTTCTCCTGTTGGGGAAGGCCCCAGCTCCCCAGATCAGAAAGGTGGCATCTCGGACTCCTCTCCCCACTCACGCTTCCCACCCGACCAGCACCAGGCTGCCGCCCCGGAATACCCAGCAGGCCCTTGGTCTGCATTCCTGGGTCGCTTCCCGGAGCAGCTCCAGCACCTCCCTGACCCCAGGGCCACCCCCCAGGCCCCAGCACTCATTTGTCTTTCTAAACATCACACCAGAGGGGAAAGACAGACAGGCAGCCTCAGCAGCCCTGGAAATGCTGTGGCTGACACAGCCTTCAGAGGGAGCCAGGAAGAAAATGCCGTTCACACAGGAGGGATGCCCTCCTCAGTGGCCCAGAACGTTCCACCTCCCTCAGAGCTGCAGCCAACTCAAGTTTCCAAAGAAAGCAGCACCCCAGATGGCCGGGCTGGGCCCATTTCCACTCCTCCTCATGAGGCCCAGTCACTAATGGCTACGGCTACAGCTGCCGGACTGGGCATTCCTGGGCCAGACCCAGGGGAGTGTGAAGGTGGGCAGAGCCCACAGGGACCACCTTTCTGGAGAAAGCCCTTCTCCCTGCCCCCCACCCAGAGCCTCCGCTGCACAGGACTCATCACTTGTCCACTTCAATGTGTTGTGACTGCAGAGAGTTGAGGGCTCCCTGCCGGCCCCCAAGTTAACAAGACGCGTGGAAGAAGGTGGCTCCAGGACAGGCTTCCCCGTCAATAAATCGAAGATTGGCAAAGTAATATGGAATTTATGCCAAGCAAACTAAACGGACAGAAGAAAGGTAGAGCAGAGCTCAGACTAAAAACTGAACACCCCAGGAACCCCCAGTCCTGCCCAGTGGGAGGGGACGAGCCACAACTCAAGAGACGCCGCGGCCGGAGCTTTTGGAAGCGCCAAGACCTTCAGGCCCAGATGCTCCACATCCCGCCAGGTGACCTGCGCCAGAGCTCCTGACTGCTCAGAGCTGAGGGTCTCCCGGGAGTCTCTCCCTGTGCCAGGGGTCACATGCCAGGACAAGCTGCTGCCTGCTGACCAGTCTGTCCCACTCACGGCTGCGTCCCAGTCCCCAGTGATGCCGCCACCCAGGAGGGATTTGGTGCATCTCCAAGCAAGGACGGCCATGGGTTGAGCTTCCGGCAGCTTTTCTTCCCTCCAAATCCACCCAACAAGCACGTAACTGCACCAGGCTTTTCACTGTGTGCCGGGAAGTTTCTCACCATCACCGCGCCAGGCCTTTCACTGTGTGACGGGCAGTTTCTCACCGTCACGGCGCCAGGCTTTTCACTGTGTGACGGGCAGTTTCTCACCATCACTGCACCTTCCACGGCTCTGCTGAGGAATCCAAACCCCTTGGAGGCAAGACCGTCTGTGCTCAGCCGGCTGGGCAGACAGGGCCCTGGGCCCTTCCCACACAGCTGTCAGCCAGCAGAGTGGCCTGCCAGGCACTCAAGGAGCCCTCTCTCAAGGCCCTGGGCAAGGAAGGGGCCAGCAAGACCAGCCTGCTTGGGTCACCGGACGGCTCCCTGCTCAGGGCCTCTGTGGGTGGGGGAGCTTCACTCACCACCATGGCACTGACCCTGGGGCAGACACTGCTCTCCTGGAGGCCAATTTTATAACACATATCACAGGCTTAAACTGTGTATGCCCTTTAATTCAATACTCACTTCTGGGACATTTTATTAAATGAATAATCAGATATTTACACAGAGCATACGTGAAAAAATTCACCACAGCCTAGTTTATTAAAATAAAACTGGAAACTCTCTAAATATACAATATTATGGCTTAAATAAGTTAGTTAAATGTAGTACATTCTAATGACAGCAAACAAGCAGTCATTAAAATTTCGGGTGTTAAAAAATTAGTAAGGAAATGACTAAAGTCATTTAAACCTAAATGATTAAAGTCATTTTAAAAATTAGTAAGGAAATGACTAAAGTCGTTGAACCTGAAGTGGAGAATGCACAAAGCCACGTGTTCAGGATTCCACTCTTTCGAGGCTGTGAATATGTCTGTACACACAAACGCGTGAATATGTCCTACACACAAACGCGTGAATGTCCGTATCACACAAACACGTGAATATGGCCGTATCACACAAACGCGTGAATATGTCTGTATCACAAATGCGTGAATATATCCGTATCACACAAACGCGTGAATGTCTGTACACACAAATGCGTGAATATGTCTGTATCACAAACGCGTGAATATGTCCATACACACAAATATGTGAATATGTCCTACACACAAACGCGTGAATGTCCGTATCACACAAACGCGTGAATATGGCCGTATCACACAAACGCGTGAATATGGCCGTATCACAAACGCGTGAATATGTCCGTACACACAAACACGTGAACATGTCCATATACACAAAGACGTGATTATGTCCATATCATAAACGCGTGAATATGTCCGTATCACAAACGCGTGAATATGTCCGTATCACACAAACGCGTGAATATGTCCGTATCACACAAACGCGTGAATATGTCCCACACACAAACACGTGAATGTGTCCATATCACACAAACGCGTGAATGTCCGTATCACACAAACACGTGAATATGTCCGTATCACACAAACTCGTGAATATGTCCGTATCACAAACGCGTGAACATGTCCATATACACAAAGACATGATTATGTCCGTATCATAAACGCGTGAATATGTCCGTACACGAACGTGTGAATATGTCCGCACACACAAACACGTGAATATGTCCGTATACACAAACAAGTGAATATGTCCGTATCACAAACACGTGAAAATTTAACAGTGGTTATTATTTGTGGGTAGCTTTATTTTTAAGTATCTTTGTATTTTCGAAATTTTCTATAATACATACTCCTGTTGAAACAGAAAATGTTTCTAATTACTTCGTGTGGCCACTCAGGGGAAACAACCGACCCTACAGAAGCCTGAGCCCGCCTTCCTGGGGTGGGACTTGGGGGACAGAGTACACTGAGATTGGCGGGATGCTCTGGCCCACGAGGGTTTGTTAGAACTCAGGGCCATAAGGTGGGGTGGTGGCTGAGGCAGAGTGCGCTGGGCAACCACTTCAAGGGCAGGGGGTGGGCGGCACCTCACAGCTCCATCTGGAGCCCTCACCCACCCGCCCATGGCCTCACAGCCCCATCTGGAGCCCTCACCCACCCGCCCATGGCCTCACAGCCCCATCTGGCGCCCTCACCCACCCCCGCCCCCTCTGGTCTCAGAGTCCCACCTAGAGCCCACAGTCCCTGGCCTCACAGCCCCATCTGGTGCCCTCACCCACCTGCCCCCGGCCTCATAGCCCCATCTGGAGCCCTCGGCCACTCTGGTCTGTGGAAAGAGGAGGCAGAAGCAGGAAGAGAAGGGCTGGAGAGCCCTGGACAGGGAAGAGTGAAAGGGCCAGAGAAGGCCTGGAGAGACCCTCGGTGGTTGGAGGAGGAGCACACGGCCAGCTCAGAACCCCACGCCCTTGTCCATGTGGGAAGTGGCCTCGGAGGCCTCGGGGAGGGGCCAGGCGGAGGGGAGGACAGGACACTCACACCCAGCAGCACAGACACAGAGTGGCCGCTCAGAACAGAAATGCCACAGGGGCACACGGAAAAGGAAATGGCAAGTTACCTGGATGAGGTCTGGAAAATGGCCCGTCTTTAGCTTGTGTGACTCCAAAACATAAGAAAACCAAAATACTGGCCACAATACCTCTGCAAATAAAGAACAAACAGCCCCTCAGTGTGTGCAGGCTTCTCCCAGGAGGGAGGTGGGAGGCTGCAGGGACCCCCAGACACCCATTGTGGAACAGCCCCTGATGCTGGGGCGGGAGGAAGGGGCCTCGGGCAGAGCTGGGCGACTCCGCCGCGGGGAAAGCCCAGCTACCTCCACCACCCTGGGCCGGACATTCGCCCTCACATTTGCCGCCTCCGCGGCAGGGAAGGCCCAGCTACCTCCACCACCCTGGGCTGGACATTCGCGCTCACATTTGCCTCCTCCGCGGCAGGGAAGGCCCAGCTACCTCCACCACCCTGCACCCAACATTCGCCCTCACATTTGCAGCCCGCCCAGTGGCCAGGAGAAGGTCCCTGTGCTTGGGCTGCTGGTGGTTCCCAGTGTCACATCAGGAAGACACTGGCTCTACACAGAGGCCACCGAATGCCCCGCATGTGACCATCAGTGATCACAAAGCCCACGTAGGAGGGAAGGCGTCAGGAGCTACTGCCTCCCTGCTCCAACGCGGCAGGACCCCCAGGAAGTGTCTCTAGAGAGCTCCTGTGTCTTTTTGGTGTCAACTCATCCAAAACCAACGGGACTCCTGTGATTCATAAGATGGAAGCGTGAGAGCTGTAACTGCAACCAAAGATGCAGGTTCACGGGAAGGAGGATGCGAGGGACCGCTCTGGGCAGGGGCAAGGTGCTCCCTCCTCGGCAAAGCTCCTTGGGGCCGGCCTCAGCCAGAGTCCCAGTGGGTTTCGGTGAGCAGCAGCTTAGGCCGGCGGATGTGCAGACAGCCCTGGTCACAGGCACACTGCTCACATCCGCTCGCTGCACCCAAGGTGTGGACCCGCTCTGCGGACGCGCTCTGTGCTCTGCAGACGCTCGGATGCACCCATCCTCTCCAGTCGTGCTCAGCTCAGGGTCTGAGATCCACTGGCCGCTGCACCACCCAGTCCCTCCCACGGCTCGGCAGTGCCGTGCCGACAGTCACACCTTGGCGTGTTCGCACGCTGGGCGGCCTCTGGGTTTTGGCTGCCGTGAGGGAAGCTGCACACACACACGCACGTTCGTGTGGCCGCAAGAATAGACGGGGCCACAGAGACACGCTATCTATTTTTTAAGACAGCGCTGTTAAAAAATACCCAGTAACAACTTCAGTCTCAGAAATTCCCCTCTCTGCCTGCAGGAGTGCCTGGCCTCAAAGTCCTGAGTAGACAGAGGCAGGTGAGGCCAAGCACCGCCCGAGGCTTGCAGGATGGAGGAGGGCACAAGGTCGCTGGCCCCTGGTGCAGCCGGGACAAGGGTCTACTGCTTCTGGGCAGGTGCTGCTCTCCACCCAGAGCCCTGAGGGTCTCACCCTCGGCAGGACATTCATGGCCCACCCAGGCGAAACCTGAGTTTCTGACCCGGTCTCCACCCAGGCCCCAGCTCCCACACTACCGCTGTCAGCCTCCAGGGACAGAGGCAGAGATGCCCTCGCTGCTGGGTTCAGCAAGGTGGGGCCCGCGTCCCTGTCACCGGTACCCCTCCCGAGGTCTCTCAGTGCTGAGGGGTGGGAGGTGTAAAAAGTACCTTTCAGGGCCCCCTGGAGCCAGACATAGGCCCCACCTCAGCTGTGCCTCCAAGGGGCGTGGGGAGGGTCATAACATTCAGTGGAAAGACAGTAAAACGTCCCCCTACCCTCCCCAGAAAAGATAAAAATGAAAAGAGGAACATGGGCACTGGCCAAGGGAAGCTGCTCCCGGTGCAGGCGCACGTCACCCCAGGCCGCCATCCGCGTCACCCCAGGCTACCATCTGTGTCACCCCAGGCCGCCATCCGCGTTACCCCAGGCCACCATCCGCCCGACAGGCGCGCATCACCCCAGGCCGCCATCCGCGTCACCCCAGGCCGCCATCCGCGTCACCCCAGGCCGCCATCTGCATCACCCCAGGCCGCCATCCACGTCACCCCAGGCCACCATCTGCCCGACAGGTGCGCGTCACCCCAGGCCGCCATCCACCAGACAGGTGCGCGTCACCCCAGGCCACCATCCGCGTCACCCCAGGCCACCATCCGCGTCACCCCAGGCCGCCATCCACGTCACCCCAGGCCACCATCTGCGTCACCCCAGGCCGCCATCCGCGTCACCCCAGGCCACCATCTGCGTCACCCCAGGCCGCCATCCACGTCACCCCAGGCCACCATCCGCCCGACAGGCGCGCGTCACCCCAGGCCGCCATCCACCAGACAGGTGCGTGTCACCCCAGGCCGCCCTCCGCCTGACAGGCGCGTGTCATCCCAGGCCACCATCCGTGTCACCCCAGGCCGCCCTCCGCCCGACAGGCGTGCGTCACCCCAGGCCGGTGCTCCCTGAATCAGCTTGTGGCAGCCCCCACACGGCATGCTGCCCAGAGGCCAGCTCAGACCGGGTCACACAGGACTCTAACCTGGCCACACATCACATAATGTTTATGACAACTTTATAAGGCTAATTTGTTCATAAGAATTACTTGCCGGGCACAGTGGTTCACACCTGTAATCTTAGCACTTTGGGAGGCTGAGGTAGGTGGATCATTAAAGGTCAGGAGTTCGAGACCAGCCTGGCCGACATGAAACTCCTGTCTCTACTAAAAATATAAGAAATTAGCCAGGTGTGGTGGCAGACGCCTGTAATCCCAGCTACTCGGGAGGCTGAAGTAGGAGAATCACTTGAATCTGGGAGGTAGAGGTTGCAGTGAGCTGAGATCGCGCCACTGCACTCCAGCCTGGGTGACAGCAAGACTCAGTCTCAAAAAAAAAAAAAAAAAAGAATTACTTAAGTACTTGAGAAGGTGTGTCCCGTTGGGTAAGAATGAGGGAAGTGCTTTAAAAGGAAAACAAATATATTGCATTTTAAAAATAAATTTTTAATTTTAGAATGGTTTTAGATTTACAGAATTATTGTAAAAATAGTAAAAGCTCCCATATCTCACAGGCCCAGTTTTCCCATTAACATCTCACCATTAATAAGCCGGTGCTGGCTGGGTGCGGTGGCTCACGCCTGTAATCCCAGCACTTTGGGAGGCTGAGGCAGGCGGATCACAAGGTCAGGAGTTCGAGACCAGCCTGACCAACATGGTGAAACCCCATCTCTACTAAAAATACACAAATTAGCCAGATGTGGTGGCAGGCACCTGTAATCCCAGCTACTCGGGAGGCTGAGGCAGGAGAATCACTTGAACCCGAGAGGCGGAGGTTGCAGTGAGCCGAGATCACGCCACTACACTCCAGCCTGGGTGACACAGTGATACTCTGTCTCAAAAAATAAAATAAAATAAACATAAAAAATAAAAAATAAATAAGCCAGTGCTGCCACACAGCTGCTGAGGCCTACACTTCCTTCGCTCTCCCCTGATGTCCTTCCCCCTGCCCCGCCCCCAACAATCTCTTCCTGGAAGCCACATGGCATCTACTCGTTCTGTCTCTTCAGGCTCCCCGAGGCTGGGACGGTTTCTCAGACTCTCCTTGTCTCTGATGACCTGGATGGTTTGGAGGAGGCCTGGTCAG